>NC_000018.10:52431908-52732575 GCF_000001405.40 Homo sapiens
GGAGCTCAACTAGAGAAATCATCCCTCAGACTCTGACACCTTTGAAACCCAAGAGCATTTCAGTAAAGCATCGGAAATGTCAGAACTCCCTCTGCTGATTCTTCTTCCTCCTATTTTATCTCTAGCACACACTTTGCTGCACTGTTTGCCACTTTTATCTTCTTTCCCTGATGGCTTTTATATATTTTTTGGTCTTGTTCAAGCTTTGAAATCACTGCTGCTCCTTTTTGTCGCCCCTCATCACTAGCTCCCTGGGTTTCATTGACCACTGCTTATCTCCACCGTGTTGCACGTGTCTTGTTGGTTATTTAATAATGCATGGCTCTCATGATCAGGAGTGGAGAGGCTCAGGTCTCAGGTCTGGCTACTGAAACTGGAGGTTTTTCCTGCTGACTTGGGTCTCCTTTGATGTACGAGGACATTTGCAGCTCAGCGGCGGATTGGTAGCTTCTTTGATGTGCTCTTCTTATTCTGATTTGATGTATGTTATATTCCTTTTATGTTCAAGAGGGACCAAATAAAGGAATGTCCCTCCTGCTTCTCACATCTAATTTTTGCCTAAGCACCCTCTGTTGCTCTTCGTGCAAGGGAGTGGTTCTTTTGACAGTGTATAATATAATTTTATTAAAGAAAAACAAATAATATCAGACAGGATGAATGTCATCATTTATGAGGTCTTAGGCAGCTCTTTATCTCTCTCCTTTGCTTCATGTTGCATTTGCATAAATGGTTCTTTAATTCAAGGAGAATTGGCTGCGGATAAATACAAGTCAAACTTGAAAGGAGTTTAATACTTGATAATCACTTATGGACATTGCGATTAAATACACTATCACTCTTTTATGTTTAAGCTACATAGCCTAAACTGAGTACTACGAGTGGATTTATCTTGAAGCCTGCAGTGTGCAGGAGTGCCGCCTGAGCTCACCTGTGGCTTATACTGGCCCAGATATTGCCTTCTCTGGAGAGTTGATAGAGGGAAATTGGCAAACGGTAATTCTGTCCTGTGCTTCCATCTTTCAGTTTCCCTCTGCACTCTAACATCTGGCCTTTCATGGGGACATAAGCAAATAAATAAAACAACAAAGAATCTGAAGAGTGTCACAAATTTATTTATTTTTTACTAATCTTTATTAGAACATCAAATGAGATTATTCTTGTTAATGAAGTTTATGGATGATGTGAGCATTATATTCATTTTTAATATCCCTGAAATTATTTAACCAGGTATTTGAGAGCTGTATATTTAGGAAACTAAATAGAAAATCTATTAATTAGGGTTAATTTGCGATCAGTAATATTTTAAAATTAAACCCACTTGTGTTCATTGAAAACTTTGGGTGGAAGGGGTTTCAATTTCAAAATCATGTTTGAATTTATTAATTTATATTTGTTTACAGTACTCACATTGCTTTCATATCCATTCGTTCATTTGAATATCATTTGGGTGAGAAAGACAGAATGGTTATTATTAGTGCTATATTACAGATGAGGTAATGAAGGCTCAAAGATCAGTATATTCTGGGACTAGAGTTTTGAGCTAATTCAGTGCTCTTTATAATACATCAAGTCCAATTTTGTACCTCTTGCAATACACAACAATTTGGCAAATAATGAATTGTTTTTTATATACACTAAAAATTGGTTAGTCATCATGACAGAAACACATAATGGGAACCATGTATGAATTCTAACACTTACATTAGAAGTATGTATTTGTTGTAGTTGATGAAAAAACAAAGTTATAAAGATATTGTAGTATACATCAAGAGGTTATTGGTAATCTATTCTTTAAATGTAACTCTGGATTCCCCTTTTTAAATCTGATTATTTCATTTTGTTATCAATAATAATTAACGCTTTTATACATGGGAAGTCCTATTTTTGTCTTATTCAACACTATGAATCAAGTAGGTTTCTTGCAAATTTTAGGATTCATCTTTTAATAATAATTACATGCAGAGACTCAAGTGTTGTCTGGTTTCCCTGTGATATAGACCATAAGAGTTGAACCTAAGAATGTCAGTCATAAGACCATGGTGGTTAAAAAAATCACACATGTAGGTCCAAGGGAAAAAAGTGCCATGTAAGCAGTAGTTCCTAATCAAATGTGTGGTGTAAAGCCATTTCAATTATTGATTAGCAGGCTTTCTTGCATAATCAGAGAATATTCAAAAATCCTTAGAAGGGGTTGAATAGTTATGTAATCCATATTGTAATCAATGCATAAAAGTGTTTATTTCTCTAAAACTGTAATCCTTGGATTTACCTATGTAGTTAGCTGGCTATAATTAGATATACTTTACACCACTGGTGTAAAGAGAAAAATTTTGCTTTCCTGGGTACATTTGGCAATGTCTAGAGATATTTTTGGTCACCACAACTAGGGGTTGCTTCTGGCATATCATGGATAGAGACCAAACATGCTACTAAACATCTTACAACACACAGGGCAGCCCCCTGCACCTAAGGATTACCTGGCCCAAAATGCTAAGAGTGCCCAAAAATGTCAATAATGCCCACTTTGAGAAACCCTGATTGAGATAAAATGTTAAATTGCTACAATTATCCATAAAATTCAACTTCCTACAAAACTATTTTTGAGAAAATATACTGATAAAACAGTGGTGATATGCTGCATAAACTATTTTTGGTAATTAAATTTGTTCTCCATTTCACTTTTGCTTATGTGTCAATGCTAATAAACCAGCAGTTTTTAATTTTTCTTTTTTTTTTTTAAACCAGAGACCCTTTGGAAATGCAAAATAGTTTAGGGTACTTGGAACCATTTGGTTATTATTTGCTATTTCCTAGATGTATCACTATAAATTTCTCTTCAAGATTATGCCCTTTTATTTTATTAACACTGTTACATACTAGACACCTAGTCACTGCCCCACACCTCCCCACGCCCGTCCCTCTGGAGGCCTCCCTGATTCTGCAGTTTCGATAACATTGTCTGTACCCCCAGACCACAGCATATATTCCTCATACCAGTAAATCTTTGTTGTACACATATGTCCTGTAGATTGCAATGTTTGCTTTTATTTTTACCTTTCTTGCGAGTAATCATAGTGCCTCACTAGGGCTAGGTGATTCGGTTATCTCATAGTTTTCTATTCAAATCCTAGGCTGTTTCCAGACTTGAGTTTGTCTCTCTGGTATCATTAGCTTCTTCGCATGTGGGCCCTCACATTCTGGCCCAAAGAGGCCAGTAAAAATGCTGGTGCCTTTTCAATCCCCTCTCTAATCTGCTCATCTTCCTGCCTGGATAACCTGTCAGGCCTTTGCCATTTATAATATTTATCCTTCAGCAGTTTTCCCTGTTCCCTTGTTGATTGCTTTTCTGCACCAAGAAACTCCCAGTCCCTCTTGCCTGTGTGTGTGTGTGCACGTGTGTGTGTGCTAAATAGATCTGTCTTCCTTCAGCAGCCTCCCTTGTACCCCACTTAGCCCTTCTCTATTTCATAATGGCCTTTTCCATGGGTGGGGTATGTAGTAAGATCTCCATATCTCCCGTCTGCCTGGCTGTGGCTGCCTCCTCGTCAGAGCCTCGGGTGGATGGGACCACACACACGCTAATGCTCTCTAATCCCTGCAGCTTTGTCACTTTCAGGACTGCTCAGATGCTCACCCAGCTCTGACTGGTTTCTCATCACCCTCTTGAAGGGTTGAGCTGTCTTTCCCATTTATCTCAACGGTGATAGTGACAGCAATCCACCTTCCTGGCCTTTCCTCCTGGGCCACCTGTTAGGCTGCCAGCCGCCCTTGAGATTGATATTTGCCATTTCTGCCGCCAGGTTTGTTCTGGCCTCTGTGGGCATGTTCACTAAGAGGCACATCAGTCTCGCTGCCCCGTGTTGGGGCAGGAAACTCCATTATAGACTCTCAGTTGATCACTGTTCTTCTGCTTCTTCCCTGCATCAGTTTCTATCTGTGAGTGACGGAGCACCTGCCCAGGGGGAGATCTCAGGAAGTCCCATCTCCAATCAAATATACACAATCCTGCCCGCTGAACCAAACAGGCCTTCTAAACGATCAGATGACCCATGGCAACCATCTCCCCAGTAGGACATTGTCTCTATTCTTCCTCTACCCATTCAGCCCGGAGTTCTCCGGAAACTCTGGGATGCCTATCACACACGGATCCCTCTGCCCCTCAGATCTTAGTTTTAATTCAACCACTGATTCTCTCTTACCCACTCAGAGGGCTAGACCCGAAAAGAGAAAACACAAGGACTGTTTTTGAAATACGTGGACATGAGTGTCACAAAGTTCATCTGGACTAAGGAGAGAAGGAAAGAGCTAGGGGAAACCCCCAAGTAATATATG
Organism: Homo sapiens; assembly: GCF_000001405.40. Taxonomy (NCBI): domain Eukaryota; kingdom Metazoa; phylum Chordata; class Mammalia; order Primates; family Hominidae; genus Homo; species Homo sapiens. Next base: position 52,436,241 of record NC_000018.10, read on the forward strand.
TGACTATTTTTTATAGTGGCTTCTGGAAAGCCTGCTCCCATGTTTACGACTTCACTGAAATAAATGATTCTGGTCATGTGCATTTTGAGACAGACATTAGTGGCAAACCTTGTCATGAATGACTCCTGGATGCTAGGGAACAAAAGGGCCCTTTATGCAGTTCTACATGACGCTCTCCATTCTTGCCACTCAACATGCTGCTCATGCTTTGTGGCATTAGCATCACCTGGAAAGCTTGTTACATATGCGATCCTGGGACCCACCTCACTATCTCGGACCTACCAACTTACCATCTCCATTGTAACAAGATTTCCAGGGGCTTCCTATGTACATTAAAATATGGAATATTCTGCTCTTTCTTTTACTGTATTAAATTCTCAGAACTGGCTGGGCATGGTGGCTCACACCTGTAATTCCAGCACTTTAGGAGGCTGAGGTGGGTGGATCACCTGGGGCCAGGAGTTCGAGAACAGCCTGCCAACATGGCAAAACCCCATCTCTACTAAAAACTACAAACAAACAAACAAAAATCAGCTAGGCATGGTGGTACGCACCAGTAGTCCCTGCTACTCAGGAGGCTGAGGCACAAGAATCACTTGAACTCAAGAAGTAGGGGTTTCAGTGAGCCGAGATCATGCCACTGAACTCCAGCCTGGGTGACAGAGCAAGACTCTGCCTCAAAAAAATGAAAACAAAAATTATCAGAACAACCTTCTGAGATAATTATTAAATTTCCCATTTTATAGATGGAGAAACTGATCCTCTGAATGGTGAAGAAGTTTGCCTAGTGTTACTGGAAATTGATCCCTCCTGTAAAGGCTAAATCTTACTTTTCTTCTTTTAACTATGGACCACTACTGTATAGGTATTCACAATGAAGTAGGCATTACTTTTTAAAATATAATTTTAAATATTAGAAAGAAAAATGTTCCAGTCTCATTAAGATGGCAAATTGCCAAATGGGGAAGACATCTCCATGGGAGATAGGGCTCTGAAACATCCAGCTGAGCAGAGGCATGAAGAGAGAGTGCATCCTGCCTGATGTGGAGGGTTCAGGGTAGTTTATAGTCATGTGGCAGAAAGAGGACACACTGGGGCTCTCCACAGGCTGGCAGTCTTGGCAATCCAAAGATGGTCACAGCAAGATAAATTATGTGTTAAGGAGATAATTACTATGGCCTTTCCTCTGAACAGCAGCTGGAAATAGGCTGAAACAGATGGAGCCAGAAATAGTGAAAAGGTTGAGGGGCAACCTCAAAAGAGAGACAGATGTCCTCAAAGGACCAGTTTAAATAAGAAGAGCCTCTGGATGGTTAAAGATAGGGGCGCATATTCTGCAGATAGGATTGTACAGGTCTTTTAATTCTCCCTCTAACTAGAGTTTTATTGTTGTAAGAGGAAAGAAGAAATGAATCAATGAGGTTTATTTTAAAATTGTATTTTTGTTGACATATCACAGGGGATTGATTTACATGGTTTTTTATGCTTATCCCACTTGTCTCTTCCCAGGCAAAATTTAACCACTAGGTCTTGGCTATATGGAACAGGAACCACTGTCCACCTATATTCAAGAAGAGTTAAAATTTAGAACATCTTCTTCCTCTTTCCTTTACAGTGGCAGTAAATACTATGGTGCCTCCAGAAATCACTCAGCTTAAGAGGTTATCTATTTCGATTTTCACCTGGTGAGTTTTGAATGGGTATTTAGATGCCAAATTTTAAGCTTGACTATCCCTATTCACTCCTTTTCACAAATATTAGTATTAAGAGCCAATGGAAAAATGAAGGCTTTCAGGTAGAACAGCAATACAGATAGATTCACTGATTAGATGCCACTGTTATTGCTGCTAACCATTCCCAGTTTCAAAAAACAGATCCCAGGGGCCAGAGTTTCTTACTGATTGGCAGCTTGCTCCCCATCCTCCCATTCAATATACACACACAATTTTCACCACTCCACTGGGTTCTCAACTGGGTTCTCGACATCTGCAGTGTTGTAGATGGGCAATTGTAACTTTGAGATGTGCAAAAGCATTTTGAAAATCAAGGAATTCTGTCACTCTGGTCGGTCTCCTGGCTTTAATCAAGAACATCCTAAAGCACTATTTCTCTATGTGGTGTTTCAACAGATGTTATGTTGGGTTACTAAGAGTGCTGTAAAATGGAGAGTTTCAGTTCTATTGACCCACCTGGAACCATGAAAGAAGTTTATTAATTTTTCACATTAACATAGTCTACTTAGCTCATAGAGTATCTTCCCATTGGGAAATTCTGCAAAATTTTATCACTAATTGTTCCAAACAAAAGTTTTAAAATTATGTGAAAGTAGAATCTTTTAAAAGTTATATTTGAGCACTTATATAAACAAGAAACTCTTTAAAAACCAATTCTTTATATAGCTTGAGACATAAATTAAAATACTTTTTTCACATCTAAATAGAATGAGGCTACCATAATAAAGCAGTGCTATGTATGTACTTGGCACTCAAGATTTTCAAGTGGCATCACTATTTCATTATTATCTTGCATACTCTACCACTAGGCACAGCAGACAATCTACCACTAAAATTCCTTGAGTTGTGTTATGCAATAAGAGGGCTATGGGGGTACATTTAGGTAAATTACTTATAGTCGTGACTGAACAGCAGAGAATTGAAGGGACCAGCAATTTCCACCTTTCTGAAGCTAGGAAGACTTGAAAAGATCAATCAAAGGCATATGAATAGTGGCCAAACACTTTGCCTCTTCTTTTTAGCAAAGGGAATAATGAATTTTCTCTATACTTACTGAGCTCCTGTTTTTTCTACCAAGTGTGGGAGAAAAAAAGGTAAATTCGAAATTAATACACGTTTTCCTCCAGGTTTGGTTTATGAAAGTGCAGCAGGAAAAAAGCATGGTAAACATACCACTGTTAATATTTTGGAAGATATGTTTTGTGTGTGTGTGTGTGTGTGTGTGTGTGTGTGTGTGTAGTTTGGTTTCCCTAATCACAGAAAAAAATACAGGTAATCTCTTACTACAGTGATCTAGTAGTATAGGTTGAGAGTACACATCAATAAGAAAACTTAAGTTTAAGTGAAGAAGTATACTACCCACACTGCAGGAACACATTAGCTGTAGTTTCACTTTTGGCATGGAACCTGACTCCCTAATTTCTTATGGCTTCACACTCTGGTTTGTATATATATTAGGGTGAGAAATGGCCTTAGGGTGAGGCATCTGGACCATTGCTGACCTTGCCTCTGTGCTCCCAGTTCCCTCATTAGTAACTCCAGAGATAAGATACTGAAGCGCCCTGTTAAAAAGTATGAAAGGATTGAGGTTGTGGGAGAGGCTTAGGTGTTGACATTTTATGATAACGAGGTTTGTTTAAGTTTTGACACAGATTAATTCAACCTGTTAAATAGCAGACCTCTTAGGGACATGACCTAGGACAGGATCCTTCAACAGAGAGAGACATTTGTCATCTTTGTATCAGCAGAATCTAACAGAGCTATCAATAAATATTTACCTAGTGAATAAATATTTGTTTAGTTAATAAAGAAACAGAGAGGATGGATACTCCATTTACCATAATGCGAGTATTACGCATTGCATGCCTGTATCAAAGTATCTTATGTACCTCATAAATATACACACCTACTATGTACCCACAAAAATTAAAAATAAAAAAATGAATAAATGATGAAAAGGTATAAGGAAATAAACGGGGCATAGCTGTTTTCCCAGGAAGGAAGGCACAACATGCAATGTCACTGGGACAAGTTTGCGGGTCAGGGCACGAGCAGTGTTCAGGAATAGGGGTTGGATTTAAGAGAGGAGAATGTGACAAAGAAGAGTGGAATAAGAACCAGAGTTTGCTCTTTCCCATGTGCTGTTTCCAGCCCTGCTAAGAGCAGAATTCTCAGTAGACCCCAATTTGAAGCGCATACCCCTTCCATCGCAGTGCCATTCATCAGGGCCAGTTACAAAGGATGGGATCTTCAAGAGAATTCCATCTGAGTAATCTGCACTCTCACTTGAAAAAAATCTCTCCTGAGACAGAATTCATGCTCACGTGCTTCAGAATACAAATCCACAAGGATGGTTCTTAGAAGCTTGGCAAGACTCTCTTGAGTTTCTTTTTATCATTTTTTCTTTTTGTTTTTAATAAGTGAGCTCAATATTTATAGTACTTCCATAGCCATTTATTTCAGGTGTGTGAAAGGGGCTGTTTGCCTGCCCACTGAGGGTGAATTATAGGGATGACATTTAATGGTGCAACTTCTTCTGCTCAGTGCCCTCAACAATGGAGAGATGAGTTGAAAGGGAGTGATATTGCATAGTAAACAGTAAATGCCTCACACAATGGGAACTCATCATTTTTATTTTATTTTATTTCTTAAACGTAAGGTTTGAAAAAATAGCATGTGGTCTCTTGACATTATTCTAAATTGCACTGTTAGAAGAACATTAACTTTTTCATTTCACACTTTCTGAGCCTTAAGCACCATTGCTGTATGGGGAAATCAGTCATTTTCTGATGATTCATGTGCAGATTTGTGCCAATCAGAATTGGCCATAATTATGCCAAGTCTCTTCTTTCAAGGAAGTTCATTGAGGGCATAGAGAAAGGAAAGCAAAAGGAGAATCATCCTCTGTATGTGCTCTGTGTAAATTCACAAACCATAAAGGTACAAGTAATTTCATAGTGCAATGGAAATCTACTTTGAATAGACTACATTGTTATAAACCACAGATACTGGTACAGCTATCTGGGGAGTCACTTGATAGGGACTTAATGGCAAATCTGTGGGTACATTTGTCTTTTTCAAGTTTGCCTTGAGGCTATGGACATAAGAAAATAGTCAATAATATCTTTCTATGATTAACTTCCTATGAAAATCACTGAGAATTTGGAATCACTGATTTTTATCACAGATTCTAGAGTAGCTGAAGTTATGAGAGATGTTCATTTGTCTGAGACCATTTATTTTAAGAAACAGCAATTCTTACAGCATGATACTGAATCAGGAATGAGACTAACAGGAGGCAGGAACTCCACAAAAATGAGATGAGTGGCTGAGATATTAGAAGTGAGAAATGTTTATATTGATTTTTGCGTGAAAAAGAGTCCGATATCTGTTTTATTCTCCCCTGCTTCTCAAGATTCCCTTTCCTCAAAGTCTATGAAGTGTTGTTATGGATTTGTTGTTATTTATTTTATTTTTACCTTATTTTTAGTCTGAAGTACATTATTGTTTTAAATCCTATCACCATAAAAATAAAAAAGGGACACAATTATTTTCCTTGGAACATTCCTCTGCCTTTTCTCTCCTATTCAAAGAGCTTACTGTTGAATTTTTAAACACTAGCATTTTCATCTTCTTCAGCCTGACAGAGTCATTTTGGGAAATTTGTGTCTATAGAGGTATTTTCTAGTAAGGTTTGATTTGATTACTGACCTTTTTTAACCTTAAAGGTACAAAAGAAAGTACTTCAAGCACCTAAGGGACTCTGCCAACTAATAGCAAACAAAAGTTCAAGATGGGTCAGGTCCCACAAAGGAAAATTAAATGTATTATTCTCACACAACAAGATTAGCAAATCATCCATAAACCCAGCCACTCTTTTCTTCTTTTTATTCTAATGAGTTTAGTGTGCAATAATGATGATACAGGCTTCATCAGAATTCTGCCAGTGAAGGGGAATTTGCAAACTCTGTTTGCAAATGAGATGTGCACCATAAACCATAGTCATCCATCATAGAGAAGTAGCTTGTGCCTGATAAAAGGCTGTTGGGGCTGAGTCAATCAAATGAGCATTATTAGAGCTTGGTATTATACTGTCCTTTAGGTGATGGAGAAGGAATGTAATACAGTTATGGAATGTGATTTTTTTATGCCTCTGTCCCTTTTGGAAGACTAAACTCTATTCTAACATGAACATCTCAGAGTGACATTCATAATCTATGTTATAAAAAGAGACCTTCTCTAATTTCTCATCTGTCAAGAACAGTTAGAACTGTGTAGAGTTTTCATGATATAGCTAACACCATGAAGAAATGGTCCTGTAACTAAAATTACAGCTCATACTTGTTGATTATTAATGAAAGGTAGACTGAGCACTTGTGTCAATTAAATGAAGACCAATGAAGATGATAACTTCTAATGTCCTTTGATCATGATTAAAAATAATAATTATAACAATAAGATTTTGAGCTTATAGGTTACTTAGACACCATCTGATGTAGTGGATTTCTAACTTTTATTTAGTATTGGAGCCCATTTTTCAACCAAACATCATATGGCACCAGGACATACAAAATGATCAAGGTGTAGGAGTTCTTTAGAAAGAGGCAAGGGCTTTCTCACTCTTTCTTAGCTTTCCCCAGTCACCCTCCTTGATGGACATCTCTGATATTTTGAAACACATTGATGTAACTCATTTTTCTAAAATTTACAGATTGAGAAAATAATATGCCAAAACATTTGTAGATTTTAATAAGGCTGCAGAACTTACTAATTACAAAGCAAATATAAAGATCCAGACATCTTTACTTCCACACAGATGCTTTCCCTACTGTGCAGAGCTCCGCCATTACCTTGCTCTACATCGGGTCAGAAAGCCAATGTCTGCAGGGGCCAGGCAGTCATGGGGATCAGGGGTAAAGCAGGTGGTAAGCTGCAAAGCTCCAACCCCCACATGAAGAGAACAGCTGTCACAGTTTCAGGGGATGCTTCTCATGAGGAAAATAGGGCCCAAGATTCCTTAACTTTCTTTCTATTTTTTTTTTTTAGCAGAAGTTGAAAAATCAGAACTTCAGTGTAACAATGGTAATAATTAAAAACTTTAAGTGAATAATAATAACTACTATACTGATGAAACAAAACATATCTACAAGACAAATTCAGCCAACACCACTGGTCACTATAAATACTGATGTTGAGTTCAATATTGTGATGTTGTTATAAGAAATATTAAAATTCAAACATCCCTGTAATTAGATTCATTGGATGTGCCCAATAATTATTCTTATGAACAATTAGTAACAAGTCCTCATTAATTTTTTAAATAAATATTGAGGAGCCCCTAAGCACTAAGCTCTGCTGTATAGAAAGGTCATATTCCCAGACCTTTGAGAACACATAATCTATTGAAGAGAGACAAGCATACAAGTGATATTTGTAAGAAGGTGAACTGAGCTAAAATAGAGGAGAAATGATGGTGTTTGTGGGACTACCAACAACAGTAAAAAATATTTGCATAACTCTGCTCGATAAAGACTCTCCTTGGGGAGTCATGAAGAATGCATAGGAGTTTCCCAGACAGGTGAGAAAGGGGACATTCTAGGCAGAAAGAACAACACACATACAAGAAAGGAGCTGAGGAAAAATCATGTCTTGATCAAGGAACTGCAAGTAATGAGGCATGGCTAGAGGGCAGAGAGGATGGAGAAAGGGAAGAAGAGAGAGAGGCAGCTGGACATGTAGACAAAAGCTAGTCAATGAAATATTATAAAATATATGCTAACAAGTTAGGACTTTATTGTGTAGCTGCTAAGATGATATTTAAAGATTGTAAATGGGTGAAGTCATCCCATTTTTATTCTAGAATGATGATTCAGATGACATGTATGAGTTAGAGACAGAGACGGGAGAAAGAAGAACCAGTTCTTGAAATAGCTCAGGTTATCATTGATGAGGGCTGCAAAGGTGTTGAGATTGGAGGAATGAAAGAGATAACTTTGAGGCAGTAGATTTATAGAATCTGGCTGCTGATTGGCTGAGAGGAAAAGGAAAGTATTAAGGATAACAGATGCCCGGGATTTCTGTCTCAAGAACCTGGACTGACTGTGACCCATTTAACCAAGGGGGAGACTGAGGAAGTGGTAGGTGCTGGCTGCAGCCTAGAAAGGCTGTGGAATGGGGCTACCTGAACCAGGTCTGGAAGGGCTGTCAGAACACCTTGGTGTATGCAGTTCCTGGCCTGCAGAATTCACCTCTAAAATGAGGTGTTTCCCTAATTTCCTCCAGCACATTTCAAATATAAACTAAAACATGACCTTGAAAATCCAGAAATCTAAATATGAATGAAAAAACTACTAATCTTATTAGAAATAGCCCACTCACTGGAAGACTTCTACGTCAAGAAGCTTAAAATCAGCTGAATTTATTTTTTTTAGCAAACACATTCTAGTGCTAAAAACAAACAATAGTAAAGCCAATAAATGCCTGCCAAATATGACCAGTAGTATTTCTCAGCTGGTTTAATGAGCACTGAGCTAGAAGGTCGAGACAAAAGCACACAAGAATCTCTTTTTTTCAATAATACAAATTTAACATGTTTGGCATTTTATTTTGCATTTGAATATGGAATAGCTGACTTTAGTTTATAGCAGGAGGGAAAGGTTAAAAGATTTGTTTTCCTCCTGCTTTGGCCTAGAGTAGTATTAAACCACATTCTCCTGTGATCTATTGTTTAGAAATCTAATTTTTTTTTCTTCTCAAGAATGTATTCGGAGTAATCATCTCAAAATATCATTGAAACCCTTCAGGTAGGCCATTAAACTCAGTGGCAGAGTGACCAGAGAGAGAGAGCGCTTGACTACCTATATTTTCAAATTAAATCCAAACCTCAAGTATGGTGAAAAGCAAATATAGTCATTCTGGTCATCAATTCAGCAATTACAGACACACAGTGGATCACTATATAATTCAAAAATCATGTGTCTCAATGAGGTCTGTGGTTATTTTCTATGTTAGGTACTAATTTCTTTTAATTTACAAAAGCAATGCATTTTTCTTTTTTAACAGTCTAGTGGGGGTGGGACATGCAAGGTGGAAACAAACACAGGAGCTATTGAACATCCATAATAAGGGCATTATTAGGAGAATAAAAGGAGAGGGAAGAAAAACAATCAACCTGAAAACTTAGTACAATTCCTAAATAGTAATTCCTTTCAAGAGAATTTATGGATCTTGATAACTAGCAAGTGGCAGCACGCTCCATTCAACATAAAAGTAATAGCAACTAATAATAATAATAATTTCCAATGAAAGCAGTGGTTACCACAGCCTCTGATTTAAAATGTAGGTTTTGGAACAGCAGGCGTATTACCAATGATATTTGATTTTCCAAGAGGATTATCCATAAAGAATCCTGCAGCTGCACTTATTTACCTGTCTCTTCATAGCATCATTATGCAGACAGGGATACTGAGAAAAACACTGTAACAAAATTTAAGCGACTGCATAATTCTTTCTAAATACACCCACTTTATATATTCACATATATTGTGTGCTCTTCAAATGCAAATTTTAAGTGTTGTTTATCTGTTACTTCTCTGCTTGGGTCTCTGTGTGTAGTCTTTCCTTAAGGTAGTAATATATTCAGATGTTCAGTTTCTCTAACACAAAACGAATTTTGAATATGTAAGCTGGGGATTTTTCAATGAAGTGACAGGACAAAAGAGACCCAGACAAACTGATGCTTTCCTTGGGAATTAATTAAGATTCAGAGTAGCCCTCAAATATTTATACCAAACTCTTCATTTTTTAATAAGTGGCCCCTAGTGTGGGAATCTAGCATTGCTGGTCTTTTGGGGGAAGGTAGCGTTCACAGATAGTAACTCTTGAATCTTCTACATTCGAAGGATGGAGAAACCACAGCATGCAAACTCCTTACCAGTTTTTTGTTTGTTTGTTTGTTTGTTGTTTGTTTTTTGAGACGGAGTCTCGCTCGCTCTGTCGCCCAGGCTAGAGTGCAGTGGCGGGATCTCGGCTCACTGCAAGCTCCGCCTCCCGGGTTCACGTCATTCTCCTGCCTCAGCCTCTCTGAGTAGCTGGGACTACAGGCGCCCGCCACCGCACCCCGCTAATTCTTTTGTATTTTTAGTAGAGACGGGGTTTCACCGTGGTCTCGATCTGCTGACCTCCTGATCCTCCCGCCTCGGTCTCCCAAAGTGCTGGGATTACAAGCGTAAGCCACCGTGCCCGGCCTCCTTACCAGGTTTTTAACTTCAAAATCTACTTTGCCTGTACATGGCAGGTTGTTGTTCATTTTAACCTCGATTAATAAGGAAAGAAGACAATAAATTTTAGGATGTTTGAAATTCTGTATTTGCTTATCTACAAGCTATGTGATCCTCCAAGTCCAAAATGCCAAGCAAACTGGGAACACTGATAGAAGTATCGCCATCTTTCTTCTTTTCCTGGCTTCAATAACTTCATCAACTACTTCTCTAGATCATATCAGATTTTTCATTGACTTTGGCCTTATGGGTTTTTGACCCTTCTATATAAATGCATTGGAATTGCTTTACTCTTTAGCAGATAATCCTAAAGAATACTTTTATAGGGCTTCATCATGTGAGTGTGACATTACAGTCTACTTTGTGTTTGGATTATGGGTCTTCATGTATCAATGGTAATGTCATCTGGCATTCTCCTTCTAGCCACTACCTTTGGTATTGATGTTACTGTGATGATTTGCACATGAGTGCCACAGAGTTATTTTTGTGTGTGTGTATTGCTGCCATTGAGATGAAGAGAGTGATGGAACCAACTCACCAGACCCCCTGGGACTCCTGATCCCCTTAGTGGTTCCTTTTGAGGCAAGTTGAACAGAACCTTGTCTCCAGTTTTAAATCTTGGGTTTATATTACATTCGGCATAATGCCCAGAGAGACATTTCAATTCAATTGATTGATTTTTATGTTACATTCTCAGGAGTACTGTTTGCCAGTTTTCATCCTCAGTCCTGTCTGAGCAGTTCTGTGGAGAGTTATACTCTTCCACAGTAATATCCTCAGAACAATTTTGAAACAATTCTTTTCTCCATATTCTTAAACAGACATCAAAGACTTTAGTCCTCTTGTGAAAACACAATATTTCTTACAGATAAGACACAAGGCACATCTTAGTCTGCCTAAGGGTTTCAAAACAAGAAAATATGGCACCTTCATGATAAAGATAACCCCCCGTCTTAGTCGATAATACTCTCACTCTGCTAACCATTTGATATGGTTATCAAACAGTATCTTCAACAAGTAGCCAGTGCTAAAGATAGTGAGGGATCAAAGAGGTGTAAGATAGCTTTTGCCTTCAATAAATCATCATAGTTGGGAAGACTGGGTATACAATTTAAAGTATTACTGTAAATAAAGGTCAGCATGTGTTAAGTGCCCACAGTGCAGTGGCAGATGACAGTTACTATACAGGTTGAGAAACATGGGACAGAAGTGTGACTGACCTTGGTGACTGGAACAGGCTTCACAGAGGGAGATGCTACTCACTTGGATACCCAAGGATAGGCTGCTCAACTTCACCAGAATGGAGGTGTGCTAGTCTGTTCTCGAACTGCTATAAATAAATACCTGAGACTGGGTAATTTATAAAGAAAAGAGATGTAATAGGCTCATGGTTCTACAGGCTGTTCAGGAAGCATGATGGCATCTGCTCAGCTTCTGGGAAGGCCTCAGGAAGTTTACAATCATGGTGGGAGGTAAAGGGGGAGCAGGCACCTCACACAACCAGAGCAGCAGTGAGACAGAGAGTGGGGAGGTGCCACACTCTTTTAAACAAGTAGATCTCATGAGAACTCACTCACTATTGAGAGGATAGTACCAAGGGGATAGCACTGAATCATTCATAAGAAATCCACCCCCAAGATCCAGTCACCTCCCACGAGGCCCCACCTCCAACACTGGGGATTATATTCCAACATGAGATTTGATGGGGACACCGAACCAAGCCATATCAGGAGAGTATTGGAGTCTGGAGAATGGTGAGATATTCTAGTCCAGGGGTCCACAACCCCAGGGCCACAAACTGGTACTGGTCTGTGGCCTGTTAGGAACCGGGCCGCACAGCAGGAGGGGAGTGGTAGGTGAGCATTTCTGCTTGAGCTCCACCTCCTGTCAGATCAGCAGAGGCATTAGATTCTCATAGGAACATGAACCCTACTGTGAACTGCACATTCGAGGGATCGACATTGTGTGCTCCTTATGAGAATCTAATTCCTGACAATATGAGGTGAAACAGTTTCATCCCAAAACCATCCCCTGGCCCCTCTGTGGAAAAATTGTCTTCCACGAATTCGGTCCCTCATGCCAAAAAGGTCAGAGACTGCTGCTCTAGTCCAACCTTGAAGATAGAATAATGCTTTGGTGAACAGAGCATACATTTTGTTATTAGAGTAGAATGTTAATGAAAGGAAATACTGATAGATAAATTTATAGAGTTTTTTTTTTAATTATTGGCTAAGCATTTTGAATTTTTTCAAGGGAAATGAGTGCCTTTGAAGACATTTAAAGGCTTTTGAGACGAGAAGTTTTCTAAGATTTATCTGCCCAGAACCGATTGAAATGGTTAGGTAGGTGGGTGGTGGTGGAAGAGGGAGAGACAGATGGAAAAACACATTTTATTAGAGATTTACAAGTGAGATCCAAGTGCTCAGATCAGTCTGGTAACAGTAGAATTGAGCAGACATAATCCATATACAGTTTTTACTTAGTGGAGACCCAGGTCATTCTGAATGGAGTGAGTAACACTTTGTACTTTTACCTTCCCAGCTAATGGCCATAACTTTCACCCTAGTTGTCCCTAATGGCTTGCCAAATGTATTAAAATGATTTTGGAAAATAGTTTCGTGGGATGTAAGGTGAAGAAATTAACATTTGCTAGTTTCTTTCCTTAGAATAATAGTCTTAATCTTAGAGCTTTTATTAGTTCATTCTCATGCTGCTGATAAAGACATACCCAAGATTGGGCAATTTACAAAAGAAAGAAATGTAATGGATTTACAGTTCCACCTGGCTGGGGAAGCCTCACAATCATGCCAGAAGGCAAGAAGGAGCAAGTTATGCCTTACATGGATGGCAACAGGCAAAAAAGGAGAGCTTGTGTCAGGAAAACTCCCCATTATAAAACCATCAGATCTTGTGAGAATTATTCACTATCACGAGAACAGCATAGGAAAGACCTGACCCCATGATTCAATTACCTCCCACTGTGTCCCTCCCACAACATGTGAGAATTCAAGATGAGATTTGGGTGGAGACATAGAGACAAACCATATCAGAGCCCTTTGAAAATTAGACAAAAGTATGGAATCTCCCTTGCGGGGGAAAAATACACTTATAGACAAGATTGTGAACACAGTTTCAGGGATTTGCAGATACCCTGAAAGATGCATAGATGATAACTTAAGAGTCCTTAGAGCAATATTTGGTCCTTAATGATTTAGTGTAGGCAAATTCTGAGTTGCAGTTACAGTAAATTCAGGTAGAAGTGATAACACTATAGCATTTGCTCATTCTGAGGAAAGGGAGATAACAATGAAACGATGACACTTGGGCTGGCAAAACTTTAAAGGAAGACTGGTTGGGAGTGAGGTTTTCTTTCCACTTAGTGCCTTATTTGTCACTCATGTACTCTGATATGGTTTGGGGGTGTCCCCACCCAAATCTTACCTTTAATTGTAGCCTCCATAATTCCCATGTGTCATGGGAGGGACCTGGTGGTGGGTCTTTTCTCATGCTGTTCTCATGATAGTGAATAAGTCTCATGAGATCTGATGGTTTTATAAAGGGCAGTTCCCCTGCACATGCGCTCTTACCTGCCACCATGTAAGACATCCCTTTGCTCTTCCTTCATCTTCTGCCATGATTGTGAGGCCTCCCCAGCAATGCATAACTTTGAGTCCATTAAACCACTTTTCTTTATAAATTACCCAGTCTTGGGTATGTCTTTATTAGCAGCATGAGAACAGACTAATACATACTCTGATATTAATCAAGTAAGAATTTAACTGAAGGGTTAATTTACAATTGGGAAAAGAAACTATTATGGAAGACAGAATAATTTCGGAAATAAGCCTGTCTCAAACCGAGACTTAAATGTAATGAAACTGCCTTTGGTCCATGTAATTTTCCTAAGTGATATTTCAGGAATGTTCGCCAACAGCCACTTCATTTCATTATTTTTATAGTAACATAGGCAGGAAGTAACCAAGGTTTGATTAAACTTGCTTATATGAATGGAAGAGGCTGAAAAGTTGGTCAGGGAATAATTGCTGCTTTCATTAATAATTTAGTTGGGTGGCTCCTTGATTCATACCTTTCCAGTTTATTCAGTAAATGCTTATTGAACATCTACTATATACCAGACTTTGACCTGTAGACAAGGTAACCATCCATGTAGTTTGTTCTGGGAAGGTCCAGACTAATGGCTATTAACTCTATGCAATTATTCTCAATATCATTTTTATTCTCAAAATTGTCCTGTTTTGAACAATAAATTAAGTGGTTATTCTAGCTTTAGGCTATTTGGGGAAATGTTATCTCTGGGAAAAACTGTTTGGCCTGCCCAAACGTTTCTTACTCATCAGTCCAAATTACATATGATTACTTGTAGTATTTGGAGTATAATACAAGCCTCAGGAAGATAGAACTTCATCCATTTTGTTCACCAATATGTCTCCTGGGCCTAGCTTATTGTTGAAATGTAGTAGATACTCAATAAATACATTTTATAAATGAATGAACCATGTAAAATACTTCACTATTGGAGAAAATGGCTACCACTATAGGTATCCAAAGGACTAAGAATAGACTATGCTCTGCAGGTCAGGCTTAACTTGAAGAAAATTAACCAAAAAAATCCAAAAAAGTATATTAATAATTCAAGAAAATGATTTTATTATCTGATTGTATTTTAGAAATACGATTTGAATGTGTTTATTTTGGTTTTGAAGTCAATTTCTTAAGTAAATGTAAAGATATTAAAATGTTTGCCTTGGTTATGAAAGGTTAGGTGACCAGCTATTGTTGAAGTAACCATGTAGAACATTAGAATTTCACTGTGGGCATGTTGTGAGGCAGGGATTAAATATCCATGACTAAGGGAATTAGTGAGCACCAGACCCAAAGTATGTCTTTCCTCCCTCCCTTCTTTCCAGTTGTCAGGATGTTACAGTATATAGATATTATATTTTGAAGAGGTGACCTAGGGTATATGAGCCGTATTCTTATTTTACACAGAAATACATCAAGCTTGGTTATCTTGTTTCCCAGCCTCCAGAAGATTAGAAGCAGAAAGTTAGAAAGAAAGCTGTTAGAGTCAAACAGATTTATGGTAATGGGAGAGATTGCACAACCACAAAAAGGAGGCAAGGGATTCAAAAAGCATCATTTCTGAGGCCGTTTGGGAAAGAGATAAAGAGCCTCACACGCCCGGTAGCCCCAGAAAGCCTCACTGTGTTAAACCAGCTCACA
The DNA here is from genome assembly GCF_000001405.40 of Homo sapiens. Classification (NCBI taxonomy): domain Eukaryota; kingdom Metazoa; phylum Chordata; class Mammalia; order Primates; family Hominidae; genus Homo; species Homo sapiens. The sequence goes on from NC_000018.10 coordinate 52,451,497, forward strand.
GCAGTTGTCAGTAATGATGGCCTCAGGCAATCGGAAAAGGTTAAAGTAGGTTTATTGTGCTCTGTTCAATAAGAGGACATAGTTTATAATCCACTTCAGTGGTGCTGGTGTTTTATTTAAGCTCTTTTGGTTGCAAGTAATAGGAGGACCAAAATACATCCTAAGAGAAGTGTGTGGGCGTGTGTGTGTATGTATGTGTGTGTGTGTGTGTACCTAATGACTACAAATTGCAAGTAAAAAGGTATAAGTGGTCAAGAACTGAGTCGGCTCGTAGGGCTGGGTCCTGATTTTGCAGGTCCCTGGTGTCTTGGTTTATGTATCTCTGTTTCTGTCTGAGTCTGATCCCTTGTTGCAGCTAGGCATTACCTCTTTGGGCTCTTCTCTCTAGGCCTCTTTTTAGTTTGAACTTCTGCTTCTGTCTTCTCTCTAGGTGATTCTGATAAAATTCCAAGAGAGATAATGTGATTTTTCCAGCTCATCTGTTCACACTGGCAATGTCACGGCTTGTTGATTATCCTGTGTTTTACCTGCTCTGAATCAGTCCTTTTCCTGCCCCAGTTTGCAGATAGAGGGAGTGAGTGGCTTTGGTTATCTGGCCTGATTCTGATAATCCACTAAGCAGAAGCTGCAGACAAGCTGTTTTCACAAGGACTCAACTAAAGGCATTGCAGATACCTAAACAAATCCAAAAATAGATCAATGTTTTAAAGTTTTGAGATTTAGTTCAATGAGGTTCAGTTACCTGAAAAATATGCTTTAGGTAGAAATACATTCCATTACCATTCTACAAATAAAACCCTACTCTCTCTATATTTCATATCAATTCAGGGTTCTAATAAAATATTACTAACTTTATTATGCATTATGTGTCTTTTTCCCCAAAATTATTCCGAAAGAAGTTCTGTGTTCTTCCTATCCTATGTTACTCACCCATAAGCACATTTCCATTATCGTCCTTGATATTCGAGGGTTGGATGTAATTGATCCATGGCCTCTACCATTTCCTCCTCTTCTCCTTATTCCCTACTCAGACTTAGCAAAACAGGGGAAGATGCTTTTACATCTGGAGCAGAGCATCACTGTTCCAACAATGGGTGAACGTGAGCTGCCGTTGTTGCCAATACTGGGTTTTGCAATAAGTGCTCAGAACAGTGATTCATGTCACAACATAGTACATGCAGGAAATTATACTAGTGGTCCAGTACAATAAGCCTTAGCACATGTGTCACCCATTTACACACTTGGTTAAAGGCATAGAATGAATTAAATAAATGTAGGTCAGAAATCTGTTTTCAACAAAGAACCAGGGAGAGAATGGCAATTCTTTTATACCTCAAGAGTAAAGACTAGGTGGGACACACTTATAAAACGTTAGTACAACTTGTACAGAGATCCTGATTGAGGCTGTCAATTTAAGACATCTCAGGTAATTTTAATGACAAGACTAGATATAAAAACAGAATTAGCATTTTGAAATAAACAACAATGGTGGCCCAATTTTGGGTGCAGCACTGTGTGTGCATGTGCCCAGCGAATGTGCATGCATTGGTGTGTCTGTGTACATAGGCACAGGCCACCCTCTCCTTGTCACAGTACACGCACCACCTCCTCTCTATCACCAAAACATATAGCTACCCTCAAATAAAAGAGCAGCTAAGCTCTTGTAGAACATGACGTATTATATCAGCATAGATTTCAGTATTTCAAATTATTCCTGGAATTAATTCACTAAATAACCCAGGTAGTCAAAGCACAGATCCATTAGGCTCGGTAGAACACATTCTTTAAATGTTAGTACCATACAATGAATATTTGATAAGTACATCATTAATAAACCTTGGTGTGACATAATTGATATGTGGATGTTTAATGACAATTCCAAATGATGTAGCACATGGCATCCACTCATCCCTCAATCATCACGCAGGTTGCCCCTGTACCATGCGATGGGCACAATTGGAAAGGCAAAGTCTGATCTTCATTAGTGGCTACCCATAAAAGGTTTTCATTACAAGATAAATGATTATAGCCTGGCTTTATTAATTAAGCATGCATTTCTGCAGACCAAAGTAATTGAATAAAATGGCTAGTAGCTTTTAAACTACACAAAATCTTAACATCTCAAGAATAGATTCTACTTTCAATCTGTGCCTTTAACCCTCTATTATTTGAGAATACATGGCAACTGAATTTAAACTGTTGCCAAATACTGACTAAATTTCACATACGAGATTTTTTTCCTCTAACATCTTGCTCTGTGGCTGTCATGATAAACGGATTTGTCTTTCCTTTCATCTAATAACCTCAAATTCATCCTGACCCTACTCTCAGCCTTGAGGAACATAACCCCAGAATATGTACAGATTAACTATAGAAGCATTGGTGCTTACAGAAATGAAATGACTTGTTACATCTTGAAAGAGAATTAGTGGCTGAAGAGCAGGTCACTAGAAGTCCTTTATTCAGTTGTCACTGAATCACACCTAGGAAACGACCTCATCATCCATGCTCAAGTCCTTCTTTATTTTGGGGTCAGGAAGGATGCTTCAAACGTGATATACCCATGTAACAATTCCCTTTCTATCTCTGACTGCTTCAGTGAGAAAAATAAGAATTCTTAGAATATCAATTTTAAAGTAAAAAATATATATCTACACCAGGGAAGACATTTTTTGCTATAATTTTTTTACATATACAATATCTTGGAATAAAAGAGCTCTAAAACAAAAGCAGTAAATTTTGCAAGATCATTATGTTTCTGATTGCTTGGCACATAGGAGCTGTGAAAGCAAAGTTTAAAATTCATTTTTACTCAATGAGAACACACATGACTTAGTGCCCACAAAAAATCCCTCAGGATAACTTTTTTAAGTAGAGCAAAATGTATATGTATATAATATATTCTACCATGAAGCATCTAAAATTAATTTTATAAGATCAGAGAATATTCTGGCAATGAGACAACTTTTTCTCCCCAATTCTGCTTTGAACTAGTTTTTTTTTTGTATGATCACTACCAGAAATAATTACATTATTAAATTAATTCCACTCCTATTGACCGTGGTCACTAAACAGTTCATCAGCTTACGGTATTAACATAAAATAGGAAGCTTGACCCTCACCTTGTCGAAAATACTTTTATTTGTAGTGTTTTTACTTGAATTTATTGATAATTACTTTTATACTTTATGAGTATGCTATTGATTCTTCTGCATGCCTTTCAATGGAAGCATTAACAAACATTTAGCTTTGAAGGTGACATTTTAATTTCATTTCTAACATTTGTAAGGACTTTGACACTAACTCCCACCATAATATTTTCAATCCCATGAAGAACGAAACATTTCCATAGTTTATTGTCTACATTTCCATTGTAATGGCCAGGTGGCTGGTATTAGAGTAGCATGGCATACAATTCCAGTATTAACTAAAAATACCACTAGACTATTCAAATGACTCGTTTTGCATTAGTGCAATTGTTTCCAATTGCGTTTCATCATGTTTTATTCATCCTAGTTTCTTCTTGTTGTAGCATTAAACTATATATTATGAATTTAATGTATATAGTAAAGCTAAAAATTCCTTTTATGAAGTATTAAGTGCTGCCATAATTCTTATGTTTATTTTTAATCATTTTTAAACCTAAGATTACAAGCACAGATTTAGAGATAATTCTGATTTAATTTAATTAATTTATTTGTTTTGTTTTCAAATATGAGAACCTTCATCATCGTGTTTCAATGAGTCTCCTGAAATAATAAATTCAAAAAGAATTTATTTTCTCTTATTTCAGCTGAGCTCTCTTTGCTGCAAGTCTTTTATTTACATCATCCATTTTTCATCCTTGATTATTCAGAATCACCAGAGAACCATCTTACTTCTGAACCATGAGGTTATTATTCAAGACCTACTACTATGCTGAAGAATTCTTCTTTCTTCTTTGTCCCAACCAGATCTGACTCTGTCACTCACCAGCTACATGACCTGGAACAATGGTTTCTGCATGTGTAACATAGGAAAGCTTGAGGGCTCAATGATCCTCAGAGAATCAAATTTGGCCAGTGGCCTCCAATTCTATGTGTTATGGCAAGACTCAGGTACAAGTCAAGACCTTTACAGGGGCAATTCAGCATGGCCTGGTTGTAATTCCAGTTTTTCTACTTAGTAGCATTGTGATCCTCGGCAACTTATTTAAACTCTATGTGCCAGTGTTTCCTCAACTGTAAAATGGGGTTATTATTATTCCATAGAGTTTGTTATAAAAACCAAATATAGCAAGTACTGTGTATCCGAGGTACTAAAAACAGTGCTTGGTGCATGGTAAGCATCCAATGAATGTTAGCAAAGGATTAAACGTCCCTAAGGAGTAAAAAGATTATGGCACACTCCATCCCTACCCTACTTCCGTATGTAAGTTAAAATCAAAATTCTGGTATCTCCATATGGTGACTTTTGGAAGCTTTAGTTGAAATATGAAACAAACAAACAAACAAAAAAAGGTTAACTTTTGGTTTTCCTGCCTTAGCTTTGCTGGTGCTCTAAGCCAGAATATCCTGTAGCATGTGCTGCATCGTATCAAGGTATGAAAGACAACTATCACTCCCTTCCTAGTCCTCTGTTGAAAACAGATTTCTGTTTTATATTTATTTAAATATATTGTAGGTGTCCATTTATGAAAATAATATTTATCTAAGGATGAAGCTTCAGATATTTCTGGAGGTCTTATCCTTATGAATCAAGTTTCAGTCTTATAGTGATTATTATTGCTATTGTTACTATTATAATTGTGGTTTCAAGTAATAAATAGACATTATATTGCATTTGTCATCATTTATCACAAATAAGTACCCAGGTATATATTAATGAAATTTCCTGTTGCTTTCCTGAGTGCCTTGTTCTCTAGAATAGTAATGATGGAAAGCAGACCCTTTCCTGGCACACATTTAAGATATAGTAAAGGTTATTCAAATGCCAGTTATTTTAATGATAACTTTGTTAGTGTACCAAGTTTATCACATATTAACATGGTTATACAATATAGTTTAACTATATCTAACGATATTAAGGTTTAAAAAATAAATTTGACTTTCATATTTTATTTTTAGTAGGCCCAATGTATGACATGATTTTAAACTTATTGTTGTTTGAAGATATAAATATTTGGGCAAGTAAGAGGATATGGAAGACACATTGCTTAAAGCTGATGACGGTGTGTTGAATTACATATAGAATTCCTGTGGATAGACCCTAACTGAAGAGATATCTGGTCTGACTCCTTATTTTGTAGCTAAGCCACTTCAGAAAATGTAACTAATCAGCCACAAATCGCAAAGCTGGAAACAGAATTCCCTGTTTTTTGACACCAAGTCTGAGGTCTTTCCAATGTAAAGCACTGCTTCCCAAGGTACTATTCCCAGAGAGAATTTATCTAGTATTTTCATTTTTCATACTTGTTTTTTTTTTAAAAAAATAGTATTTCCACTCTGGTTTGTATTGAAGTGAATAGAATCCCAATTATACTTCACTTTATGGAAATGCAACACATGAAGAGCTTTTTGTATGAGCTTTTCATTTCTGGTTCTCTTTGTCACAAAAGGCTCTTCACTTTTGTAGTTGAAATCATTTGTAATTATGAACTGTGCTTTTAAAAAATTCATCAATGAAATCTTTGATTTTGAAATGAGGTGCCAGAAGAAAGGCAGAAGTGGGATAAGTGGAATTTAATGCAATATGATAGAGAAATAGAGAAATCACAAACGAGAGGCATCTCACCTAGAGCAGTGTCTCATAAAGCAGCTGGAAAATGAAGATAATGCATTTGGTCATGTTTTGGAGTTTATTATTCAGTATTATTTGAGGTAGGAGTGCACAGAAAATATCTTTATGCCACACATTAAATATTTTTCATGTATCAAATATATCTACTATACAAGATTTAGAGATGATGGGCACAGGGGGTCACCAACACAGTGATGGAAGACACACAGTTTTAAATACTCAGCTGTATTTAATTATATTTTATTTTGTTGTCTTTAATTCTGACCTGCTATATGGGGTTTTATGTCAGTATCATAAATGTGCCAATATCTGTTAATAACATCCTTAAGGTATATGTTAGTAAACGGCCAAAGAAAGAGGACTGAATTAAGTATATGCTTAAGATGGTGAGAGTGAGAAGAAATTGAACAAATATTTTTAAATGTGGATTTCAATAAATGTACTTCCTTACACAATACCTGCAATTAATTACAACTCACATGACTTATTTCACCAACTCAGAGGTAAATATGATCATATGCACTTATTTAATGTTACATTATCACTCAAATTCCCATTGACTTGGGAAATCCAAGTTATCCTCTCAAAGATCTTGCCCACCCCTGACAGTTTCAACTGGTTAAAACAAGCAAGCAAGCAAACAAACAAACAAACAAACAAACAACAAACAGAAAGAACTCAGAGCAAAGTGGGTCTGTCCTGGCTCCAAAAGCTAGTCTCTGAGAGTGCTGGAGTCTGATCTGTTCACTTCAGCTACAGGCGTGGATGCGGCCACATGGTTTCACTGACTGAGACAAGCCCAGCACTGGCACACAGAAGCCTATCTCTGATGTCCTTGGTGGTCCAAATTTTGACCAAACCTTGGTCAAACCTCTCCACAGCAAGTCCCAGGGTTTCATTCTGCTTCATATCTCATGTTAACAGAGATCTTGGTCCCAGTCACACGGCTGCAGGGGCTGCCCCTGGGGCACCTCCACCACCATCCTGGTCCTGACAGTAGTTTATCCCATGATCCTTCAGCCTTCTGATTGAGCCAGGGTCACTGACCACATGTCTTTCACATACATTATTTCAGGAGACTCATTGTCCCCCCCTGACTGCGTGTCTTAGGGGTACTGGGTGCAGTACTCTATGTCGTTCAATCTTAAGCAGCAGAGGTTGGATTTCCTTCTTCCCACAGCTATTAGGTTTTGTTATCAAAACATAAATTTCTTATCCCTTCTGAGCACTTTGAAAATCAGAGAAACAGAGAATGCCTATGAGTTCCTCTCTTACACCCTTTTTCTTTTCCTTCCCCCATCCTACTCCTAACAAGGGGTTTCTTTTGACCCAAATTTGCCTAATTTAAGAATACAGCACCAGAGATTCATTCAGAATAAAGAATACGTGCTTCAATGAAACAGCTTGACTATATTCCTTATCTAGAAGATGCTGGCATAAAAGTCTATATTACCTCTACTCACTATTTAATCTTTGCTGTAACAGGCATTGTGCTACATACAGTTTTTAAAAATTCTCTTCTAAGAAATAACAAAAAAACTCCTTTAGAGTTAGATTAGCCTAGTCAGCTCTTATTCTTGAAAGGGAGGAGAGTTAAAAAATAAAAACATTTAATTGTCTTTTATTATTGGTTTTGACTAGAATAATTATGTCGCTTGAGCCTGAAACATGGAAAGGGGAAGTTCAAACCTAACAACTTCTTCTATACTAGGCCATGTGATTTGCACACCAATGAATGTGCTTTAACTCTCAGCCCTGAAGCCGCCTGTAAATTAGTTCTTTTTTTTTGCCCTATGGGTACAAAAGGTTCATAACATCAAAACCTTATGCCACCCTCTCTACCCACAGAATTCTCTGATAACTCTCACATCATCAACTTACCCTTTATACTAGATCGTTGTCATTTCTTTTCTTTAGAATTCTTTTTTAACTTTTATTTTAGATTCAGGGGTACATGTGCAGGTTTGTCATATAAGTGAACTTGTTCCATGTGGGTTTGTTGTACAGATTATTTTGTCACCCAGGTACTAAGTCTAGTACCCAACAGTTATTTTTTCTGATCCTCTTCCTCCTCCCACCCTCCACCCTCAAGTAGGTACCGGTGTCTGTTGTTTCCCTCTTTGTGTCCATATGTTCTCATCATTTAGCTCCCATTTATAAGTAAGAAAATGCAGTATTTGGTTTTCTTTCTTTCTTTCTTTCTTTCTTTTTGAAACAGAGTCTCACTCTGTCGCCCAGGCTGGAGTGCAGTGGCGCTATCTCGGCTCACTGCAAGCTCTGCCTCCCGGGTTCATGCCATTCTTCTGCCTCAGCCTCCCCAGTAGCTGGGACTACAGGTGCCCGCCACCACGCCCGGCTAATTTTTTTGTATTTTTTAGTAGAGACGGGGTTTCACCATGTTAGCCAGGATGGTCTCGATCTCCTGACCTCGTGATATGCCCGCCTCAGCCTCCCAAAGTCCTGGGATTACAGGCGTGAGCAACCGCGCCCAGGCCCAGTATTTGGTTTTCTGTTCCTGCATTAGTTTGTTAAGGATGATGGCCTCTAGCTCCATCCATGTTCCTGCAAAAGACATGATCTCATTCTTTTTTATGGCTGCATAGTATTCATATATATATATATATACACACATATATATACACACATATATATATACACACCACATTTTCTTTATCTAGTCTACCATTAATGGACATTTAGGTTGATTCCATGTCTTTACTATTGTGAATAGTGCTACAATGAACTTACGTGTGCATATTTCTTTATGGTAGAGCATAGATCATTCTTATCAACACACAGCCTGAGATATTTTCCCATGGTAATAAAATCAAAATCACACTCCTTTGTTCTCACTTCCTGCTTTAGATATTGCCCCTGCTCTGCTTCTCTGTATATCAAAACTTACTTTAAAAGTTTGTCATACTGTTTCTAACTCATTTCTTTTGATTTTTTTTCTCAAATCATCTGTAGTCAGGCTTTGCCCCTTTCTCTGCACCAAAACTATTCTTGATAAGGTTTCCAATTGTCTCCATATGGCTAAACCCAATACTGCATTCTGATTCTGCTTTTAGCTAACCTCTCCATAGCATTTGATCTAGCTGATCACTCCCTCTTTTTTTCAACACTTTCTTTACTTAGCTTCCAAGATAGTAAACTCTTCTGGTCCTCCTATTTCCATACTGGTTGCTTTTTAGTTTATTGCTGGTGTCTCTCCATCTTTCTGATCTCTAACATAATGTAGTCATATGTCACTTAACAACAGGTGTAAGTTCTGAGAAATGCATCACTCGGTGGTTTTGTTTTCTGTGAACATCATAGAGTGCACTTACACAAACCTAGATGGTATAGCCTAGTACACACCTAGGCTATATGGTGTAGCCTATTGCTCCTAGGCTACACATGTGTACAGCACGTTACTATTCTGAATACTACAGGCAATTGCAACAAAATGGTGTTTGTGTATCCAAAATATCTAAACATAGAAAAGGTACAATAAAAATTCTGTATAAAAGATTACTAATGGAAGATCTACATAGGGAATTTACCATGAATGGAGCTTACAGGACTGGAAATTGCTCTGGGTGAGTCAGTGAGTGGTAAATGAATATAAAGGCCTAGGACATGATGTACACTATTGTAGATTTTATAAACACCGTATACTGAAGCTGTACTAAATTTATAAAAAATTATGTTTACTTCTTTAGTAATGAATAAATCTTAGCTTACTGTAATTCTTTTGCTTTATAAACTTTTAATTTTTTTAACTTTTTGACTGTTTGTAGTAACACTTAGCTTAAAACACAAACACATTGTACAAAAATATTTTTATTCCTTTGGATCTTTGTTCTATAAGCTTTTCTCTATTTTAAAAACTTTTTATTCCTTTATTTTCGTCTTTTTAGATGAAGACACAAACACACACATTAGGCTAGGCCTACGCAGGGTCAGGGTCATTCATGCCCCTGTCTTTCACCTTCACATGTCTTCCCATTGGAAGGTCTTCAGGGTCAACAGCAGTCATGGAGCTGTCCTCTCCTGAGATAATATTACTTCTTTGGGAATACCCCCCGAAGGACTTGCCTGAGGCTATTTTCCAGTTAACTTTTCTTTTTTTAACAAGTAGAAGTCATACACTCTAAAATAATGACAAAAGGTATAATATAGTGAATACATGAACCAGTAATGCAGTCGTTTATTATCATTATCACGTATTATATACTCTACATAATTGTATGTGCTAGATTTTATATGACTGGCAGCACAATAGTTTTGTTTGCAACAGCATCACCACAAACACATGAGTAATACATTGTGCTATGATGTTATGACAGCTACAACCTCACTAGGCCATAGGAATTTTTCAGTTCTTGTATAACCTTATGGGACCACTGTTGCGTACATTGTCTGTGATTAGCTGAAATGTCATTATGCAAAGCATGACTGTAGCTCAGGACTCAGCCTTGGACCTCTTCTCTACCAAGATTTATTTGTGGTGATCTCCTCCAGTATCATGGCTTTAAATATGCTTAAGATACTCCGATTTTTATCTCCAGCTCAGACCTCTCCCCGAAACTACAGTCATTTTTTCAACTGTGCACTGGAAAGTCTAATAGATGCATCAAAGGAAACCTGTCCAAAACCCAGCGCCTTATCTTCTTTCCTGAAACTGCTCCTCCTGTAACCTTCTCTGAGTTGGAGGAAACTCAGTCCTTTCAATTGCTTAGGGCAAAACTTTGGTACCATTTTTGACTCTTCTGTTTTTTTCACACCCCATATCTAATCCATCAGTAAATCCTTTGGCCGCACCTTCAATTTATACCCAGAATTCAACTGCTTGTCAGGATTTGTCCCACCAAGGTAGGAAGTTATTGCCATAAGCACAATAAGAAGTGATAGTGTATTTATGGCAATAACCTCATATGTTGTCTCTTGGCTTCTACCTTTGGCCCACTACATCATACACAGCAGAACAGACAGGGTTACCCTGTGAACATTTACACGAGGTCCCAGCATTTCCTCATTCAGAACCCTCCAATGACTTCCCACCTCAGTCAAAATAAGCATCAAAGCCCTTCCAATGCCCTAAAGACATCATACAATCTGTGTCCCCATTTTATCTCCCAGCCCACATCCTGTAATTCTCATCCTATTTCATTCTGCTCCTGACACACTGCCTCGTGTCAGCCTCAGGCCTACCTGCTTACTTTCTTTTTGCCCACAATGCTCCTTCCCCTCATATTGCCTCACAGTGCAATATGCAACCTCTTTTAGGTCTTTGCTCAACTGTCACTTTCTTTGTGAGGCCGTCCCTGAGCTCCCTTTTCAAAACTACAATCCTCTCCCAGATACAGTCTCTATCCCCCTTCCCTGATTTTTCTCCATAGGACTCACTACCATGTCATACACCGTCTGTTTGTTTATGTATTATTATTACCCCTTGCCTACTTCCCTACACTAAAATGTAAGCTCCATGACACAGGGATTTGTGTCAGTTTTATTATTTGCTCCAGCCCAGGTGCCTGGAACAGAGTGCTGGCACAGGTGCTGGCACAGAGTGAGTACTCTGAATTATGTATTGAATGAATGAATGAATGAATGACGGAAATGTCCTCTCCAATCTCTCCTGGCCATTTCTGACAGTTCCTAACTGTAACTCTGCAGAAGTCCCTGGGCTGCTTTTTCTTCTCTGCTGCCTGATAGTGGATCCATAGATTCTCAGGAAACCCAGGCCTGTCCACTGCGATGGCTGCCATGTTCTTTCATATACTCAGCATGCAGTAATTGTAGGCATAGCATACTTACCGTAATAGCTGCATTTACTGGGTGTTAAGTCTGCCCTAAGTGCTGCATTAGGCTTTATATATATTTTCTGTTTTAATTTGAGCCTCACAACCCAGGAACAAAAGTAGCAAGGTTTGGTTTCTTGCTCGTGTGATCCTTTCTTATTTCTGATTGTGACTTCATGATTACCATATTATCTAGTAGCTTCCAGTTAAGCCACAGTGGCCTTTTCCTCCTGACTTTTTTGAATTCTACCCTTCTCGACTGCACTGGCCACCTCTCTGGAGTGGGCGATTGGAAACAATAAGACCAGAGATAAAGAGTCTAGAAGGATCATTTGGTCATATTGGTTGATGCTATGTTTAGGGACATAGCCACAATAATTGTATGTATGTATTAAGCACATACTAAGAGTTAGAGACTGTGCTAAGAACTATTATCTTATATTCAAATGCTATTCCTATGTCAGTGAAGGAAGTGAGGCTTAAGAAGGTAAAACAATTGGCTGAAGGGCATACAACTGAGTAGTAAATACTGGTTTTAGGATTTAGACCCTGGTCATTCAAACTCAGAGCCTTTGATCATAAGCATCATGGTCTTAGGTGGAGGTAACTGTGGGAGGATTAACTGGACTGGCATTTTTCAAATGCACACTCTGTTCCAGTCACTGTACTAGGTGCTGAGGATATAACAAAAACAGAGGAAGGACAGATTCTTTTCTCATTAAGCCTGCAGTCCAGACCAGCTGGAAGATATTCATTATATAATCATAAGTAGAGATATATACGTTGATCACCTACATTTTTAAGTGTTTTAATAGCTATAAATATGAGTCATTAGAAGCCTTGGACATCTAAAGCCTTTGGAAGAGTGCCTGACAATCCTTCAGTATTGTAGTCTTTATAGCGTCCCTTCACAGTAGCCATTCAGGCTTGTGTAGTGGGTCCTCTTCAGCCTCATACCTTTAATTTCTATTACATGATTAACATTTCATTGGTAACTTTGTATTTTTATGTATATGTGTTTGGTTTGCTTCACCATACTATATTATCAGTCTATTGAGTGCAAGGATGTTCTATTTATTTCCATATTCCCCTAAGATTCTTAGTTGTTTTATCTTCAAATAGAATGTTCTCAGTATATGCTTACAAATTCATCCTAGTTCGGGAAACACTTTCTTATATATACTCCTTTTGAATGGGAAGATGAAAGTATCAGTGGGTAATTTATCAAAAGGCATGTAGCTGGGGGTGGAATCAGAACACCCAAACATCAGTGCTTAGAATATAAAGTATGTGGTTTAGTTCCCTGCATCCTTAAGAAATATATTCAGATGTCAGCAGTAGATAAATGTTAACAGAATAGGTGTAACTAAGCTCTTTGTATAAAGAGCTGTGTTTTAGAAAATTAGGCAAGCATATTCATTAGGTACTAAGGATTGGTGACTTTCCCATCAGATCTGCAGTGAGGATAGGGAGCAACGCAAAGCGGTGATTTTAAAATTTGCAATTATCTACTTTACACATTCAACAGGTGAAAATGCAGGTTCCCCAGCATCAGAAGGTGCTCAGATCTGTACTGGCATTTCTGAAACTTTGAATGCAAAACATTCCTTTCAACTTGAGTTTGAAAGAGTAGGCAGTGAGAAATCACAGGGAGACTTTCTGCAGGCAGTTGGTACTACCTGTTTTGTTTTGTTGGTTTTTTTTTTCTCCCCATGGGAAATTTCATTTATTATACTTACATTTGCCATGTAAAGCGACTTTTTCCTGGAGCAACAGAAAACCTGCCTGTGCCATAGCTGACATTTTTGGAGAGCACCATGATAGAAGGAGACTAATATCTTTATTGGTTATCTCTCCTTCCTTAATCAGTTTAGGTAGATATATAGAAATAGGTAGTTTTTCAAAAGAGGCTCAGACCAAAGATATTTGGTCTGAGCATTAATTTGACAGCAAGATATTATTCTTTAGGGCTAGGTTGAACAATTGTCCCAGTTTTCCTAGGACATAGAGATGTTCTGGGACTGCCAGAGCTCTAAATTAACTAGGGAAGTGATGGGTATGTCAGAAAAAGCTGGTCATGCTATTTAGGTAGCTCTTCTAAGCTTTTAATAACTTCATCCTACAAATTAGGAGGGACCACCCACCTAGTAAAGTACTAGAAATTGCTAAATATTTAGAATTAACCTGCCTCTGAGGGGCAATGTATTCTCCAAAAGTTGGCGATGAGGTGGAGGTTACCAAAGATTGGGGAACTGGTATAAGTGACTCTCAGCCAAAGAATACATATTTATCTGTTGCTGACTTTTTTTCTCCCCGTTTCTCTTGGGTAAATTTCCCCTTCAGGCATCAGAGCTGAAAGAACAGTGTCACAGCAAGTGTGCTCAGCTCACCATGGACCTTTATTTCCTGAGTCTCACAGTTATTATAGGCACAATAGCCACCTCATGCCACTGAATGCCTAAAGTTTTGTGGAGATGCCCTCAGGGACTTGGACTTGGGCTTCACAATAGATCCCCAAAGAGGCTGCGGCCCTTTGTCCCGACAAAGGAGCATCTGTTGAAGGCATTTTGCTTGAAGTCATTCAATTCAGTCCTAGACCACTAGCCTGGATCCTTTAAAAAGCCAGCTCCATTGTTCAAGGCATTTCTTGAAGGAGGAGTACACACGTTCTCTAACTTCCCTCCTCTAACTTCCCTCGTTTAGTTAATGCTGAAAATGTCTGGCCTAGGGTCTGTCACTATAAGATGGGTCACAATAACAAGAGAAACCTTATCTCTAACTTAAATTTGTATAGCTCTTCCTGGCTTTCTCTGTACTTGTCACAAAAGTTATTTCTTCTAATTCTTATCCAGATATAGGGAAAACAGCAATGATTATACATCGTGCTCATTTTATAAATGATAAAATGTGCTTATTTCTCCAAGTCCATATGAGCTGGGTTATGACAAAAATTAGTTCAATGCTGGTTGATAAATTGCATTACCAGAATGGATTATTGAATTGTGTTTTCTTACTATTTGATATTCAGGTGGTTTCATAGTTGAAGTCAATAAAAAATAGCGTTTGAGAAGGCAGATGTGTGGCTTGTTGCAAGTCTCTCAGCTCCAAGCCCTTTAAAGAACAATACTGCTTTATAGACGTTTTGTCTGGTCTAGTTCCATGCTCCTCAAAAAGGGATATGCGGCAGGGGGCCACGAAGACACTGGAAAATATGTCCATGGTGGGTCTAACATAAAAATAGTGGCGTTTTCTAATAACAGCAGTATTTTTATGTTAAATCAACGAAGTACAGCTATGAAATAAAATGAAAGTTCACATAACATCATAATGTAGCATGGGAAACTCGAAAAACATTTAGCCTTATAGGGGCCTCTCTGCTTGCCCATTCTACTTTGTTGTTTGGAGGTGGGTACTACTTCAGGGGATATTTTTTGGAGGATACTTTAAAGGAACAGTTGAAGAATCATTGGTTCTAGTCTAATTCTGCCTCTTCCACATGAATGCCACATTCTATACCTCTCAAAAGATTTGCTGACCTTGACTGAGCTCATAGTATTTATCTTGTCTGTAATAGCAATATTGGCTATTCGACCAAAATAAAAGAATTCAGTGATGACTTTTCTTCTTTATAGCTTAGGCTGAAATGAGACTACATGTAATTTTCTGCAGGTTTCAAATTAGAACACACTGCATAGCTAGCCTTTTGAGTTTCCATGATAAAAAGAAAATGTATCTAATGTTTACTGAATGCTCACTCTATGCCAAACACTTAGCTAAGCATTTCATATACACTTGTTACAACTGCTATAATTTGCCTTTATTATTATCTAAATTTGGAAGATGAGCAAATCATAACCAACTTGCCCAAGCTTACACAGGTTGTCAATGGCAGAACCCGGATTTCAAATCTAGGTAGCCTGAGTTTGAGCCCATGTTCCAAATCACTCTTTGTGTGGTTCTTCTTGCTGTAAAAGTGGTTTTTTTAAAAAAAAAATATATATATATATTTTAAGTTCTGGGATACATGTGCGGAATGTGCAGGTTTGTTGTAGAGTATACATGTGCCATGGTGGTTTGTGGCACCCATCAACCTGTCATCTACATTAGATATTTCTCCTAATGCTATCCCTCCCCTAGTCCCCCACCCCCCGACAGGCCCTGGTGTGTGATGTTCCTCTCCCTGTGTCCATGTGTTCTCATTGTTCAACTCCCACTTATGAGTGAGAACATGTGGTGTTTGGTTTTCTGTTCCTGTGTTAGTTTGCTGAGAATGAATTTTTCCAGCTTCATCCATGTCCCTGCAAAGGACACGAACTCATCCTTTTTTTATGGCTGCATAGTATTCCATGGTGTATATGTGTCATATTTTCTTAATCCAGTCTATCATTGATGGACATTTGGGTTGATTCGAAGTCTTTGCTATTTTGAACAGTGCTGCAATAAACATATCTGTGCATGTGTTCTTATAGTAGAATGATTTATAATCCTTTGGGTATATACCCAATAGTGGGATTGCTGGGTCAAATGGTATTTCTGGTTATAGATCCTTGAGGAATCACCACACTGTCTTCCACAATGGTTAAATTAATTTACATTCCCACCAACAGCGTAAAATCGTTCCTGTTTCTCAACATCCTCTCCAGCATCTGTTGTTTACTAACTTTTTAATAATCTTCATTCTAACTGGCATGAGATGGTATCTCATTGGGGGTTTGATTTGCATTTCTCTAATGACTAGTGATGATGAGCTTTTTTTCATATGTTTGTTGGCCGCATAAATGTCTTCTTTTGAGAAGTGTCTGTTCAGACCCTTTGCCCACTTTATGATGGGACTGTTTTCTTTTTTCTTGTAAATTTGTTTAAGTTCCTTGTAGATTCTGGATATTTGTCCTTTGTCAGATGGATAGATTGCAACAGTTCCTATAGAGCAGTGTTTGAATGATGAGCCCTATTACTCTGATGGACATTTTATGTGCATATACATTCACCATAAATCAACTAAGTAATAGTTATGTTCATTCATTCAAAGGTTTTAGAGCCCTAACTATGTGCCAGGTTGCAGGGGTACAGATATGAGGAAGAAAAGCTCTCTTATAGCAGCTCGTAGTCTAGTGGTACAGATGGACATATAATCAAAATATGAAACAATCAAATAATGTCAAGATAAAACAGAATACAGAGCAGGAATACTTTACCACATGGACTTAGAATTTATATGGGGAAGCGAGATGATGTAGTAACCACAAAAAATTGTCCATCGAAAAAGATTGATGTTGGTAGAGCACAAGGAGCAGAGACAAAGATGAAAGTATGATAAGTTCCAAGTGAATCTTTCAAACTCATTAGATAATTTTGCAGGGCTCTTTGGAAACATTTAATTGCTAATTCTTATTAGTTTCTGAAATCAATTTCATTGGCCAACCTCATCCCATGCCTCCAAGCAAAACTTCAAATTAATGGTAGCATTTGTTTCTCATTAATTTATTTGGTTTTCTTAATGGCCAATTTGAAGGCTTATTAATAGTTAATATGTTTAGCAATGTAAACATTTGCATTAATAAAACAGATGCAAAATTACTGCCCCAGCCAACCACTGCCATGCTAAACAGCCAGGAGACATAAACACTAGTAGAGTTGAATTGAGCTTATCCTCAGAGGACGAATAATGTCCTTCCAGATTGTCTGATTTTCACATGATTGCTGTCTACACATCTATTTCAAAACTCATAAGAGATGTTGCAACACTAAATTTGTGTTAGTTTTTTTTTCTTAAGATATAATTTTAAAAGTAAAGTGTGTTCTTGTCTAACTGCTCCTCTCCTTATTTCAGGAATAGACATACAACCACAAGTAGTCTATGACTGTCTTATGTTTACCTTTGGACCACTGACATTTTTGTAAACTGACAACAATAAGCTAACTAATATATGCTGAATTTAGGCTTTTACTCATCAGTGGAAAACAATTTTGATTTATTTATTTATTTATTTATTTATTTATTTATTTATTTATTTAGAGACAGAGTCTTGCGCTGTCATCCAGGCTGGAGTGCAGTGGCGCGATCTCAGCTCACTGCAAACTCTGCCTCCTGGGTTCAAGCAGTTCTCCTGCCTCAGCCTCCTGAGTAGCTGGGACTACAGGCGTCTGCCAGCATGCATGGCTAATTTTTTGTATTTTAGTAGAGATGATGTTTCACTCTGTTGCCCAGGGTAGTCTCAAAGTCCTGAGCTCAGGCCATCTGCCCACCTCAGGTGGCCATCCGCCCACCTCCTAAAGTGCTAGGATTACAGGCATGAACCACTGTGCCCAGCTGGAAAACAATTTTCAAGCTATCTCCTAATGGTGTTGCTATTAGCCAACAGTTTATTTTAGACAATATAACCATCTTAGCCTATAGAGAGGCATTTATATATATGTTTGAATATTTGAATATACTTATTTTATAAGAATGAGTGGAAAATGGGAGGCTAATACTTATACTAATGATAAAAAAGAAATACAGTCTAATAAACATTGATAATCACAGAAATAATTACATTTTACAAAAATTGTAAAATTTTAGCTTTAATTGGGTGCCCACCTGACTTAGGTTGGTATATTAATCAGGATATACTAATTGTTGTAACAAACACAATCTCAATAAGGCTTTTTAATTGCTCATATTACAGTAAAATGTGAGTCAGTAAGTATCTCTCTTTGTTCCATATAGTGATTTAGAGATCCAGGCATCCTTCTCCTAGTGGCCCTGCATTACTGGGACCTCACAGTCCTCTAGCAAATCCCCTGCCTCCAGCTGCCAGATGAAGAGTAAAACACCAGTTGGAGGAAGGAGAGCATACAGATTTGAGGAGAAAGGCCTGGAAGTGGCATACATCACATTTGATCATATTCTTTGGACAGATTTTACTCACATGGCAGAAGTGCCTAGGAAGCAGAGCTTGGTCTTATGCTCAAGAGAGAAAACACATGGGATTTGTTGATTATAGGACATTGCCTCTGGCACAGTCAGTCAAATATGTATTTGATTGTGAAGAAACAGATAAAAAGAATATTTAGAAATGTATAAAATGCCGGAAATAGATGGGAAAAATTATCTTTAAAAGGAGAATATAACCAGGGATTTGACAGACTTCGGCACCTTAGGAATAGCCCTGATTCTCCTCCCACTGCTCCCTGGCTCAGTTAGCTGTAGGTTTATTATGAGCTTATGCAAATATGTACAAAAGAACATTTTTAGTAGGACTGTGAATGTCTCCCCTTTTGCAGAAGTTGGGTTCCAGAGAATTTAAAGAAGAGATATGCATTGTGAACATTTTCCCTGCAAGACCTAGAATGTACCTGACAGCATTCACCTTTCTGGTCCAATATCCTAGATTATTCTGTGTGACTTTCAGATCTCTTGTAACATTGAGGAAGGGATCTGAGTCTTTTCACTTAGTCTGTATACTCTGGGATCCATCAGATTAGTAGTCATGTCAGAGTAATGCCCACAGAGAGGCAGAAGTGGATTACAGAAGTATGACAGAAAACATTTTATTTGAGGGGTTTCTAAGAACTCAGCCAATGGATGACTTTCAAATACATAAGTCAGGAACCCCAGTGACTTCCTGTACGAGTGTCCCCTTTTGTTTGCTAAATCCCAACACACAAAATAAACATTCCCTAATGGGAAACAAAGTATCACATTTTCTGAGAGGTTTAAAACAATATTAAGCTATGAATCATCTGTTGATCTTTTTAACGCACTTATTGTCTCTAGAATTAAATGCTGAGGGCAGGGGCTGTAACCTTCAAATCAAATTTTGTGTCACAAACACACTAAACATTAAAGAACTGCCATTTACAGTAACAGATAGGCATAATCTGCTGTAAGGCACTGAAAAAGAAGAAACTCCACTAATGCTGACCTCGAAGTACTGAGGCAATCCTCAGTCTTCTCCTGGGCAATAGATTATGTGAGTTCTAGTCTAATAACTGTTCACACGCTGAGAATAGAATATCAACTCCTGGCTGGGCGTGGTGGTTCATACTTGTAATGCCAGCAGTTTGGGAGGCTGAGGCGGAAGGATCACTTGAAGTAAGGAGTTCAAGACCAGCATGGGCAACATACCAAGACCCCGTCTCTACAAATAACAAAAATTTAGGAAGGCATGGTTATGCACACCTGTAGTCTCAGTTGCTCAGGAGGCTAAGGTGGGAGGACTGCTTGAGCCCAGGAAGCCGAGGCTGCAGTGAGCCTCCAGCCTGGGCAACACAGCAAGACTGTATCTCAAAAAATATAAATAAATAAAACTTACTCTGCTGGCTGATTTCATCTTTGATATGTAAAAGAGAACACGTGCAGACCTTTTTCATCAGTTTGTATCATTATGGAGGGTTATCACTTATGCTTCAGCATTTTGATTAGACTAAACAAATCATGTAAGAAAGATTACATTCTATCGACTTAGGTAAATGTAAATGAAAACAACAACAGAAATTATTCTTCTTAAGAAACTTATTTCAGCAGCACCTAACTCTGGGTTATGGTGATAACTTGAAATATATTTCTAAGCTGAAATCCCGGCATGAGGGACAAAAAATTATATAGAGCTAAAGGAAGTGAACCTGTAGTAAATATATATCAGAGTAATGACGAAGAATGCAGCTTCCGCTCACAGGTACTTCTAAGTCCTGCAATCAGATAAGCCTTACAGAGGCTTTTAAAATCATGGACAAGACTAATAAAGAATGGCCATTCTCAATGGTTTTGGAATACTTTGTGTAACCTTGCTGAACCTTGAATTCTCATTATTGTTTCCCTCATAGAGAAATGTTTGATATTCTGTCTTATGTGAAGGGCAGAAAACTGAAAAGGAGTCTCCAACAATGAAGTCAGTTTTCGCTGCTGAAGAATGACCTCACTGCTTCATGAGGCTGAGAGAAGGGAGGAAGGGATCTTCTTGAAGTCCTCCAGAAGTTGCACCGAGTGGGGTTACATAAAGTATCCTGGAGTCTTTATTAACTAGATTTTCATCCACACCATTTCCTAATTTCATGCCATGCACCCTGAGTGCAACTTTGTACAAGAATGGATTTTGAGCAAGGTGTGATAGTCTCACAGGGCTCTTCCAGTCCAGTGAAATGAGTCAAAAGTGAGCTTCCTTTTACCCTCAATAGACAAAACCTCCTACCACCCTCTCCCCTTCCCCTTACGGTTCCTAGTCCTGGGATCCCCTGTCTCCCCACCAACCCAGCTTCCTTCCCTTTTCAGGCCCACCATCTGTGTTCATCTGGCTTCTTTTATCCCATCAAAAGCAATTAGTCTTAGCTCCTTTACTGTCAGTGATCTGCTTGGTTGACCAAAGCTAATCTGATGGAGGAATATGCAGTGTTACTGTTGGAGTACGTTTGTCTTTGCCATTTATTTCACTAATTCTTATTGCAGACTTACTCTGTGCTATTTTCAACGGGGTATCAAAATGAATAAGGAATAATTTATTTCCAGAATGCATTTTGTCCTCTAGATCTAAATATATGTTCTCTCTCTGTTAACATATTTGTATTTCCAAGGCCCTTAAGGCCAGCAGCAGTGGCTCACGCCTGCTATCCCAGCTACTCCAGAGGCTGAAGTGGGATAATCACTTGAGACCAGGAGTTCAAAACCAGCTTGGGCAGCAAAGCAAAACTGTGTCTCTACAAAAAACATTTAAAAATTAGCCGGGTAAGGTGGCATGAGCCTATAGTCCCAGCTACTTGGGAGTCTATGAGGTGGGAGGATCACTTGAGCTAAGGGGTTTGAGGCTGCAGTCAACTATGATTGTGCCACTGTACTCCAGCCTGGGTGACAGAGCAAGACCCTGCCTCAAAAATAAATAAATTAAATTAAATTAAAGACCCTTAATTTCGTAGAGCCTTAAACCAAAGGAACAAAGAGTATTTCAAATTTCAGACAGAGCTAATATTTCTGAAAATTTTATTTAGAAAAGTTCATTACTGGTAGGCAAACAGGATTTTTGAAAAACACAAAGCTTGTTTTCAAAATCACCTGTTGATTGAAATCCACTCAATGTTTTCATTATTTTTAGAAGCTTATTTCTGCCTGCTCATGGTTTAGTGGAAAGGACACTGAACTAGGAGTCAAAACAGGCAGGCTCTGGTCTCTGCTGCCAGGTTTGTGGCTGCCAAAGCTCCCAGCCATTCATTCATTCTAAGACCTCACATCTTACAGGAAAAGCAGGACAAAGTGGCCTTCCATGTTGCTTCTCCAGTTAAAATGCTAGGATTCTAAACAATTGTTTGATGACACTGGTCTCTCAAGTCAATTGGCATCTCCAATGATCCATTACCTTCCTCCATTTCTAACTCAATTTCACTGTATTAATCTGTTTTTATGCTGCTAATAAAAACATACCAGAGACTGGGTAATTTACAAAGGAAAGAGGTTTAATTGACTCAAAGTTCTGCAGGTCTGGGGAGGCCTCAGGAAACTTACAATCATAGTGGAAGGGGAAGCAAATATGTCCTTTTCACACAGCTGGAGAAAGGAGCAGATTGAGTGCCCAGTGAAGGGGGAAGCCCCTTATGAAACCATCAGCTCTCGTGAGAACTAACTCACTATCATGAGAACAGGATAGGGGAAACTGCCCCCATGATTCGATTATCTCCACCTAGTCCCTCCCATAAGACTTGGGGATTATGGGAACTACAATTCAAGATGAGATTTGGGTTGGGACACAGCCAAACCATATTAGTCACTTTACTTTCCCTCAAGACCTTTGTTTTATTCCTCAGCAGAGTCATTGATTGTGGCCCTAGACTCAATCCCTCCTATCAGTGACTCTTGAAATGGTGATAATGGAAACTCCACCAAAGCCCCTTCCACCTTCCTCTTCTGACATCCTCAGGAGCAGCAGTGACCCTGAACTGCACTTATAGGCCACATTTCTTTTTTTTTACTGCTCCTTCTTCCAGGCAAACTTTAAAAAAAATAAATTTAATCAAGTGATATAATGCTGCTAAAAACTGCAATGTCTCTAAGGTTTTTAAGGATAAATCATATTGAACCCTCAGAATGGCTGACAACTGAGCCCTTCCTTAAGCTACATTAACAACTTAAGCAGAAAAGAAATCACTTCAACTTTCCATACATAATTGTAACAGACCTAGAGAGAGAGAGAGAGAGAGAGAGAGAGAGAGAGAGAAAGAGAGAGAAGCAATTCATACACCATTACCACACTGGTTTAAAGGTGGAGGGGAAGTCGGGGGAGTAGGAGGCTGTCATTGGTGGCGGAGATTTTAGAGGCCTTATAAGACTCATTAAAAGAGGGATAAAGGAAAAGAAAATCCAGGATTCCAAATTAGCCAACTTTTCATGCTTACCCTCTGCCTTCTCCAAGTCCCATTTGCTGATTTCAAGCCTGTCAGAGGCATCAGTTGAAGGCTTCAAGCTTGAGATAATAATGGATTTAAAATGGCAGGCTACGTGGTCTTTCTGCCTGGTGATGAAAGCAGAAACTTCTCTCATGGGCTGAACTCACTGAGGTTGTGACTTCATCTGTCCCTGCAACTGCAGGAGGCCACAGCCTCCATTCTGAACAGTGATTCCTGTAGAGTTGCAGGATTTTATAGGTGAGGAAACAGAGGTCTAGAAAAGTAAAGTAAATTTTCCAAGATTATAGAACTTGTTAGAGACAGACCCAGGATAAGAATTCAGATCTCTTCCGCTCCATCTGGTTCCTCCTGTATCATAATGGTTTTCTGTCTCAGAGAGCCCACGGGAAAGACTTTCTCCTTTATGGAGGACAGTGAAATGGGGACCCCAACACCGGTTATCTTTAGACCATTGTTCAATGGACTTTACCATTTGGTCTTTAAAATTCTCATTCCCTAAATTGTCTAAAGTTTTGGAAAGTAAATCACTCCTCTGATATTAGTTATTCTTTGGAGCTTCTTCAATTTGCATAAGAAAACACAGATAAGTTATGTGAGAACTGATCATAATTTCAGTCATCATGATCTCAACTTCCTACCCCCACATTGACAAGTGAAGGGCCTGACATCTAATCATTGAAATTCTGAGTGGAAACCCAGGAAATGTTTCATCTATCTGCATTTTACTTTCTTCATGTCTAGAGATAGATAATACTTAAGCAACTTTATGGGGATTTTTAAAGCCCTTTCTACTAACTTCCAGATGGGAAATAGAATGTTTTATAAAAACACTCAAATTCAGTAGGCACTGTCAGGGTGAAGCTAATATGAAAATAACTACTTGTAAGAAAATGAACATGGAGCTCCAATAGTGGCAGAAAATAATGTGTACAATGTGGATAATAAATAATACCATTAAATTCTTGTATCATTCCTGCTTTCTGTCAAGATAAAAAATGTGATATTTATTGCTTGGCCCGTAATTACTTTTATGCTTGAAACAGGAAGGAATGGAGTTGATGATACAGGAAGGTATTAGTCAAGTGTCTTTTTCTATGGGGGTGGGGGACAGGGAGGGTTTTTATTTAAAGGCAAAGCGAGTTCTTCTCATCAGCATCTCCTTTCTACCAACCACCTAAGACAGAAAGGGTTTTTGCCATTTCAGCTATTAGAAGTGATTGATTCTCTGTCATACCTTTCCGAGCTGTGTGGTTGTGAATATAAAAGAGGAAAGAGGGAAGGAGAGAGTGACCAATATTAAGGACAGGCATGAAGAACAAGGGATAGATTATTAGCTTAGAGTAATAATGATGAATTTCTCAAAACAACATTTTTTGCCTGGTTATATAGATTATTTGCTATTACCCCAGAAACTCAGATCTTGATTTCAATCAGGATTTCAACCTCCATCTGCTCCCATTCCAACTCTAGTCCATCTTCTTCACCTTATATGCTTTGAAGAAAATCTTTTGAAATAATTTCACCAAGAAGATTAGTTCTTTTCCAGATAACAGCTGCATGCACTATTTTGGAAAGAACTTTGATACCATCTTCAAACATTTGAATCCTGAAACAACTGAAGCAAAGCTCCAGAGGTAGATACAACCAGCAGTCTCACAAAAATCAGCTTCTTTACCTACAGCACAGGCTCAATGAAAATCAAAATCTGTCCTCCATGAGTTTCCAGGCTAAAAATAAGGTACTTGCAGCTTCAGCACCTGAGGGCTTAAATCACATTTTATATTCCATAAATGTGGCCACATTGTCTCTTTTCCCTTTTGTTCTTTTTCATTTCTGACAGAAACCATTTGAAGTTTTATTTCAAATCACCTGGCTGTCGGCATAACAAACCTTAGATTTAGATTTGCGATTGTTTAGGGGCGTGTGTGTGTTTGTGTGTGCATTCGTGTGAGCGTTTAATTAAACGGATGTGAAATGCTGTCTGAGCCGAAGGCAGTAATTTTTCTTTTATTCATTTAATGTTGCGCAGATTATGGCAAGCTTTTCATTTGTATAATCTGTCATATAATACCACTGCCTTTTAAGCATGCTGGTCTAGTCAAAGCATTCATTTAGATGGGAATAAAAGTTTAATTACTTTCTTTCACCTTTAAACATTTGTTACAAATTAATGTGGTGTCTCTAAGACACTGCCTTGAATGAACAAGATTCCCATTTTAGTCCGGGGTCTGGTTCTAAGGAGCTGTGTATGACTCTGGATAAGTCACTGTCTGCAATAGTCAGGATAGGCTAACTGCTACCAAAAAAACCTTGCAGTTGGATTCTATTTCTTATTCAAGTAAGACTTAAATTTGGATGGTAAGATGAGGCACATATTACCTCTGACATAAGTAAGGGAATTTTGTCGAGCATCACTTATGAGTGCTTTGGTAAAACAATAGGAGAGTAAGCTGAAAGTGCAGTATTAGAGGATTGGCTCCTCTGTCCTAGTTGTATGCAAGTCAAACACAATTTAGCAGGGAGCTTATAAAGCAATTATATACAAGGCAGCCCGTGCAACACCGAGCCATGGGAAAGACCGCCAGCATCTTGGCCTCAAAAACCAGAACCAGGCATTTGTGTGACATCAGGATTTTCATCCTCTGGCTGCTCCCTCTGCAGGACGGATTCATTTCCTCTCACTGTGGGTCAACGTTTTCCACTACGTTATTATGTAGAGACATGGTGGTGATGGCTTGATTTATGTATCATCAATCTCCATCTTCTGTGAAAGAATGGACTTGACTGTGGGATCACCATTCCCTGCATCATGCGAAGAGATTGGATTCTGATATGGTTGAGTGTGGTTCACCAAAGCCATCAATACTAGCCAAGACACAGGGTTGCCCTATAGTCACATAAGGGATGTTGGAGGAGGTATATGAGTGGAGGGGAAGGTAGCATCGTTTTATTCTTTCCCATCTGAATTACCATCTTCCTGACAGAATGCCAAAGGTAACCAGTGTGAAAATTGTCGGAATCAAAATGAAGTCACTTGTGTCAAACTCTGACAAAACAGGTTCAGAGAAGGCCATGAAGTGAGTGTTCTCATGCATGATTTGCCTGGTAACAGGGACTTCCACAAGAAATTTTCCCAAACCATAGCTTTCTACAGGAGTCACACAAGGGCTGCCAGCCCCACAAGGCTAGGCAGATGCTTATGCAGAACACTCGCCCAACACCCCATCTCACAAACCCTCTTCCAAACTGCAAGGGCCTAACCTTCACTCTAAGATCACAGGTTCTATTGAGCAATTCCTAATGTTTGACAATCAGAACTCTCCAGCTCTTGTGAGACACTGTGAGCACCAATAAGTTTGATTTCAAAACAGCTTTCATAACCTCCTCTTTCCCCAATAAACCCTAACTTTTTACTTTGTTCCCAGGCTGGCAGTGGCACAAACATGTGTCACTGCAGCCCCAAACTCCTGAGCTCAAGTGATCCTCCTGCCTCAGCCTCCTGTGTAGCTGGGATTGCATGCACACACCACCATACCCCGCTAATTTTTTTATGTTTAGTAGAGATGAAGTCTCCCTTTGTTCCCCAGGCTGCTATCGAACTTCTGGGCTCAAGTGATCCTCCTACCTTGGCCTCACAAAGTATTGGAATTAAAAGAGTGAGCCACCAGGTCCGGTCCCTGGTCTATATGTATATCCTGGGTTACAATCCTACATTTTATATATTATTTTTGAATGAAATTTGTTACTTAGAGATTAATTTCTCTTGATTTTTTATGTTGACATCAGTACCCTATGGTTGTGCCCTCAATAGGAAGTATCCTATACTATCACCATTATCTTTCTTCCTCTCATATCAAATGTGTCTTTTCTTTGACCTATTTCCTCATATCTATGTTCTCTGCTAGGTTAATCTGATAAATGAATCCCTGCTGAAGGGTTTATGAGTAATTGTGATTTAAGGAGTTAATCTTCTCATGGGTGCATTTCACACAAGTCTCCAATATCTTTAATTGTAGAGGAATGTTCAGTGTTTACTGGGCACTTATTATATGCAAAGGCACTGTATTAGGCCATTCTGTCATTGCTATAAAGAAATACCTGAGACTGGGTAAATTATAAAGAAAAAAGGCTTTATTCGCTCATGAATCTGCAGGCTGTACAGGAAGCATGCTGTTGGCATCTGCTCAGCTTCTGGGGAAGCCTCAGGAAACTTACAATCCTGGCAGAAAGCCATGGGGGAGCAGACACATAACATAGCCACAGCAGGAGCAGGAGAGATCATCAGGGGAGATGTCACAGACTTTTAAATGACCAGATGTCAAGAAAATTCACTCATTATCATGAGGACAGCATCAAAGAGATGGGGTTAAAGCACTCATGAGAAATCCACCCCCATGATCCAGTAACTTCACACCAGGCCCCACCTCCAACATTGGGGATTACCATTCAACATGAGATTTGTGAGGGGACACAGATCCAAACCGTATCAGGCACTGTGCTAGATGACATAGGTAATACCATGTCAATTGAAAAATGGCTCTGCTGGCATGGGAATGAAACTTGTTGCTTCTGGCATTCAATTGCTAAAAAGTTCACCTTTACCACCTGAGAGGTATTATCTTTGGACAAGTTAGTTACATTTTTTAGAATGGTGGGAATAATAGTAACTACCTCATAGACTTGTTTGTGAAAGTTAAATGATATGGAGAGATATGTACAGTGCATATTAGTACAGCAACTGGCTCATTGTAAAGGGCCAATGCTTCTTATCTTTTAAATACTTAAGCACATATAGATTTTCTCTTCTTAAGAGGATGGATTTAATCTATCTTTTTAAGCCATATTTCTAAAGTGACCTTTTGTGTTACTGCCTGTTAGAAAAATCACTTACCACCAAAGACACATTTCACCAGCTTGAAAAATTTAACTTAGCACTGTGGAAACATTTTGTTCATATTCCCTTGGTCTTTAATTTGAAATTTTCATCTGTAGCCTGTAGTTTGTTTGTGAATGGTTTTGGGAATGTTCTTTGGACAATTAAAGCTACTAGGACATCTACAAAATCTGTGTACCAGTGTCCCTGGCTCCCCCTCCTCATCTCTCTCTCTCTCTCTGTCTCTCTCTCTCTCACTCCCTACCTCCCTCCACCCCCCCCCCGTCTCCCTTCCTCTCACTAAGTTCTATTTCAAGTGGTACTCTCTTCCTTACACACTAATTCCAAAATTATGATTGTTAGCTAATCCATTCAAGTGTAATTTGAGGACAAATGCAGACAACATTTTCTGTTAAGTTTGATCTTTTCTGTACCAACATGGCTAGAATAAAAAGAAAATCAATAAGGAAAATGAAGACTTCCTACACTGAAGTGAATCTTGGGAGACAATTTCTTTTTTTCTCTCTCGTGGGTTCTGAGCTCTGTTTTAACCATACTAAGAGAAGTATTTCACGGACGACTTCTGCTCTCAGTTCCATGCTATTTTTTGATTGGTAGCAAACTATATCCTGACAATAGACCCTCCTACTAGTCCTAAGTAAATGCTAACATTTATGGATCATCAATTCTATGTAATGCCCTCTATATAGTTCTCTTGACAACACAGTCACATTTATTATTAACCCCTAAGACTCAGAATGATGAAGGAATTTGCCCAAAGTTGCACAGCCAGTGAGTATAAGAGCTGACATTTGGAACTGGGTTAGCTTAAATCTAAAGGACTTTCTCTTTCTCTTCTACCATCTTTACTATTCAATATTATATTAGCCTAATATTCCAGAAAGAAAAAACAAACAAACTGCTAAATAATTTATTAAATAAGAACAGGGGATAGATCTACATACCTTGGTTATCTACTTATTTTAATAATTTTTGGCTTAAAATGAGGATTCTTTTCTTGTTTCTGGACATTATTAAAGTGAGACAAACAATAGAACTGTGAATGACCACATATACCCCTAGAACATACGTTTTCTTCAAAGAGAAAGATCTTATGAGGTCTGAGTTCTCATATGTATAAGCAAACCTATTCCTTAGAAGTGCATTGGTAGAGAACCAGGGATCTATCAACACAAGTGTCCCACTGAGTTTGTGCATGCCACTTTGTATAAAAACAGTGATAAAATTAATAGCACCAATCTCATAAGCTTGTAAGAAACAAATGAGTGAATATATTTGCAGAGTAATTAGAACAGTACGTTGTTCCTAATAAATACTCATAAAATATTAACTATTTCAATTATTAGAAATGCAAGAAAGGTGTCTTTGTGTTTTCTGGTTGAATTTGCCCTTTTGGCAGCCACAGATTTAAAGAATCTATAGTTTTTGAAGCTGCAATAATTTAATCTTATTTGGATTTCTTCCCTGTCATCCAAATTAGCCAATTCACTATGGTATTTGAGATTTGAATATACCCCCCAATTTTTTTTCAACAATCTAATTCTAAACTCCAGGCCTCCTTTTCATTTGCCTGTTTTGAGAAGTCCAAGTATTTAGGAACATCTCTTTAAAATTACTAAGAGTAATTTATTTCCTTTTTCAAACATTTCTTTCACCATGTACATCTTAGAGATTAAATGAAAAAAACTATTACTTTTAACAAAGATGTCCTTGAATACCTCATCTACTCATTTCATATATAATGGAGATAATTTTTGTGTGTAAACTCAGGCACAACTAAAGAAAGCAAACATACTTATTGAGGTTTAAATATTTTACTTCATTTTCATGCAAATTAATTTCTTCAAATTCTTAAACTTTCTCAGGCTTAGGTATTGGTTCAACCCATGGGAGTGAAGTGTTGACACAAGAATGCAAATATTGTAGAGGTGCGTGCCAGCCTGGCGCATGTGGCTGCAAGGCTGTATTCCTTTTCCTTTTGGGCTCACACAGTTGGCCACCTTCCGGCTGTCACCTGCAATCCTGGGAGTGGTGCTTTCCACCTTACAACATTTGCTATTTAATCTACCAAGGGTAGGTGAGACTGAGATTTTACCTGGCCAGGGAAACTTACATTCCCTCTATTGCTGTACTACCCGCCACCCCCGGCCCTACTCGCAGATTTACTCTGATTTTGAGGCAAAGACTCAACACCAAAAAATGCATAGACACAACTTTCATCTTCTGATGGAGTATTTCCAGCAGTTTTTTTTTTAAACCAAGGTTACGTGCATACATAAAGAGTCTACTAGTTCTACAGGTTTGTTAAACAGCCTGTCCAGATTCCCTTCCTGATATTTTCTAAGAAATGCTGAGGTTAATGTTGGAACTCTAACAGTGACGACTTAGGGTCCAGATCTGGCTCTGACACTGTCTGCTGTGTATGTTGCCTCAAGGTCCTCATCAGCAAAATGGGGATAATAACACCTCCCCATGAGATCGTTTTGAAGAAAAATAAATGAGTAAATTATCAAAAAAATCTGAAATGTATGATCATGTATTACTAAAATTATTTAGCTTTAAAATTATATTTATTTCATTAAATATTAAATATCTTATTAAATTATTATAAAATGTATTGTTACTTTCCAGAGGATCCATTTGATATTTCCTACCATATCACTAACATGCTTAAATAGTGTTTTAGTCAACTTTCAGCGTCAGGGATTTCGTTTTATCAAAGAGGAGGCTTTTGCTCATTCCCCACTTTTGCCCCGCCATATCCACTCACCCACCCATATGCAACGCTTAATACCAACCCAGCTGCACACCACACAAACACTTGCACTTGCACATGCACTCACTTCCACCCCTAATCCTCCTAATAGAGTTGTATCATAATTTTGATTAGAACAATACTCACTATTTACATTACTATGACTCTTCACTAATCTTTATTTACTTTTTCATTCTAAATTGTATTTGCTTAATTACCTAAGTACCTCACCCCAAATTATTTGCCAGTTCCCTAAATCTCCTTTTGCAACATTAGTTGTCACCAGGAAGGAGTCTATTAATGTCATAGTCTTAGCTCAGGCTACTATAACAAATTACCAAATACTATATGGTGTAAACAACGAACATGTACTTCTCTAAGTTCTCGTGTCTGGGAAGTCCAAGATCAAAGTGCTGGCAGATGCAGTGTCTGATGAGAGCTGTTTCTGTTTTAGCAGATGGCCTTCTTGTATCCTCACATGGTAGAAAGGGAGCAAGAAAGCTCTCTGGGGTCCCTTTTATAAGGACACTAATTCCATTTATGAGGTTTCCACCTTGCACAATTTAGTGACCTCTCAAAAGCTCTACCTCTTAATCCCATCACATTTGGGGTAGAATTTCAATATATGAATCTTGGAACTACATAGATTCTCAATCCAAAACAGCCTTCTTGAAGATTTATCTTCCAGAGCCAATTCTTAACTTGCTGCAGTTATTTTGTGATCTCTCTTCACCTCCATCCTAATGATTCTCTTTACCCCTTTCGTATGTTGGATGTCTCATTTTCCATATCCCCTTGTATTAGGGCTGCTGTCCTAGGGCTGCTTTAACAGATTATGATAAGCTTGGGGACTAACAATAATTGAAATGTATTTATTTTCAGCTATGGAAACCAGCAGTCTCAAATGGAGGTGATAGTATGCTCTCCCTCGAAGGCTCCTGGGATAATCCTCCTTTGCCTCTTCCAGCTTTTGGTGACTCCAGACATGCTTTGGCTTGCTGTTATATAACTCTAACCTCTGGCTCCCTCTTCATATGGCCTTCTCTCCTGTATCTCTGCGAAATCCGCCTCTGCCTTCCTCTAATAAGGATGTGTGTCATTGGATTTAGGGTAGCCCCTAAATCCAGGATGACCTCATCTCAAGATTCTTAATTACATATGCAATGACTGTTTTCCAAATAAGATCGCTTTCACAGGTCTAGGGTGGACATATCTGTTGGAGGGCCATGCAGCCAACTATATCTTTAGCTTCTATTCTCATTTTACTTCTTCAGTTTATTATACTTCAGAGAAAGTAGAACACTTTCTCCAATAGTTGGAGAAAAATTTACCTTGCACTTTTTTAATGAAAAAAATGCAAGGTAAATTTTCTGAAACATCACATGTCCAAAATGTCCTTATTTTACTTATAAATATTATTAACAATTTGTCTTGAAATAGACTTCTAGGTTGTAAATCATACTTCTTGAACGTTTTGAAGGCATTATATTCTTGTCTAGCTTAAACTAGTCTAAGCAATTTTCATGTCAGACCCTTTTTATGTGATCTTTTCCCTCTCTGGAGTCTTGTAAATTCTTTTTGCCTCAGTTCATCAGTCTTTTTAGAATCATGTAAGTACTTTTAATCTAACTGTACTAGGCTTTTCCTGGGTTTCTCAATCTGGAAAACCATGCTTTTCAGTTCTGTGAAATTTTTTTCAATTTATTGATGATTTTCTCTGTTGTTCTGATCTCTCTTTCTGGAGATCCTATTCTTCGAATGTTGGATTTTCTAGTATTGTTCTGCTTTTATTATCTTTTCTCACCTGTTTACTATTCTTTGATCTTTGTGCACTACTTTCTGAGAGATCTCTTAAGTTCATTTTCTAGCTATTTCTGCTACCATATGTTTTTAATATCTAAGAGCTCTTTCTGTTCTCTGAATGTTCCATTTTTGTAGCATTATGCTCTGGGAAAAAATAATATTGATTTAAATTTTATTTTGTTTTGACTTTTCTTCCCCACCTTAAACTTATGTGAATGGGCTAGGAAATAGGAATCAAGAAGCCAACCTTATGACCATGTACCTTCTGGCAATGGGACTTTTTCTTTTTGTTTAAAACTGCATTCTATTTTCACCATCCTGCTCAAAGGTAATTTATCAAGACCATCCTACTCAGTCTGCCCATTCTTAGAGTACAGTAGAGCTTTGTCTGAGTCTCATTTAGATTCAGGGCAGAGAGACATTTGCTTTTGGTTGGTCATACCTCCTCTGGCCATTATTTTCCATTTTATTATATCTGTTTTGCCTGAAGGGAGAGGCGGAAACTGTGATAAGCCCCAATCCCTACTTCAGGAGGAACTCTATCATTCTTATTATTTTCCCATTCAGCATTCCTTGATCAGCTTCTGATTTTGTATGATTTAGTAGAAAAATCAATGAACTGTGAATCAGACACATGGAAACTGGTGAAATTCTGTTATTAATAATCTTTGAGGCTGGAGTGCAAGTAATTTAGCTCCTCTAGGTCTCAGTTTTCCTCATCTGTAAGATATAAGGAGTTGTACTAAACTGGAAGTTTCTGAGCTCAGCTAGGTACTAGTTCTTCTATAGAAGTGCCCAAACAGATTGCTACCAAGAGCAAAAAGAAATTGAGTGGCTTGCTGCACCTATCAAACCACCATGGCACAAGAATACCTGTGTATCAAACCTGCACATCTCTCCCAGAACTTATAGTAAAATTTTTTAAAAAGGAAAAAAAAAAAAAGAAATTGAGTGGCTCTCACTCCCTTCTCTCTCCAGTCACAGAAGGACACTTTTATCTGTTTCTACCTAAGTGCCTAAAACTTTTGTTGTCTGATTGATATTTTTCTGGAGACCAGGCTTTCCTGTCCAAGAAATTGTTTTAAAATCATCCGGTCTTAGTGGTTTCAATGTTTCTGTCTCTAAATTCTGTGAATTGATATGATACTTTTGTCTTCTTGCCTTTAAGACTTGGAGCATGAAGGACCTACATGATGACTGCTGATCTATAGCATTTATGAGTACACTAACAATCTCTTTCATAACATGACATGTGGTTTCTTCTGTAGTTCTCGAACTGGACTGTGTATGGTGCTGCAGAGTCTTGGCAAACAGCTTAAATTAATAAAGAAATATGGAACAGCCAGGAGGTCCCACACTGAAGGCTTCAAAAAGATTATTATGGTTCTGACAGCATAGAAATTGTTCTTAACTTCTTAAAAACCATAGAATACCTCAGCAGGCAGATACTTGCAGATTAATAATCACTTTACAGCACTGTTGGAGATCAGTTATCCATCATCGCAATATGGACTATATCGCCGGAGAGAATTTTAGGAGGTTTGAATGCAGAATGCACGGCAAATACAGCACTAAAAGAGTTATTTCTTCCATCTTATGAAATGTATTTTAGTCTAGCAGATAAATTGTGTTATTAGACATTTTTATGCACTGTCTGGCTGTGTACTGGCATCAACAGCTTTTATCCACTCCCCACCCCAATTACAAAATACAGGAGAGCAAATGGCAACTCTTCTTGAGTACCAGGAGACCTGTTGTACACGTATTATGAGTGTTTCATTTGGTATATTTTATTATATTCCAGTGTAATTTCCAGAATAAATTAAGGTGTTAACAAATAACTAGAGTTCAAAGGGCAGAAAACATTGTTTCAATGACAGAAAGAGAATATGGTTAAACATGCAAAGCAACCTCTTTTAAATTCAAAGAATAATTCAACAGTGGAATATGATCTGTGAAATTAATCAAAAATAAAATAATTTTTATTTGAAAAACAACTATATTTTTAGATCATAAATATCATATAATTTTTATGATAAAAAAAGCATGCAGAAAAGAAAACAAAGACACTGGTATGTTTCTATCCTTTCCCAGCTGATATTTATTTATTTTGTTTTATTTTAGTTTTAGAGACAGGGTCTTGTTCTGTCACTTGACAGACAGCATTCGTGCAGTCATAGCTCACTGTAACCTTGAATTCCTAGTCTCAAGAGATTCTCCCACCGCAGCCTCCTGAGTAGCGATATTTATTTTATCGCCTTATTTTTCAAGATTATAGATACAGTTTAGATCACAGTATTTTAAACTTTAGTGAGCATCAGTATCACCTGCAAGACTTACTAAAGCCAGATGAAGAGCATCCCATGGTTACTGATTCAGAACCCTGGCCAGCGTTTAGAAACAGGTCTTCAAGAGGGTCCAGTTTATAACATGATCCAACTAATGCCGTAATGTTTACTGACCAGCCATTTGAGTAGTAGGGATAGAGTTCAGGGATATAGATTCCTGAACAGCTAGACCTGATATACACCTTATAGCCTCCAACTGATTTCACAAAATAGAAAGCAGCTTATTTATACCAACTAGTCAAATGAATTCATATTACTTGCTGTAACAGATTGTGTGATAGCAAAGAAACAAACAATCACTGAAGAGATTTGTTTCTCTTTTAATCAACAAAGATGGATAATCTAGTTATGCTGCTGTACAAAGCAGGAATAACACTTATGGCCCTGGAAAATTTCTCCCTGGCTCATTTTCTTTCATCGCCATGTTTTACTCATCGTAAAGATAGAATACGAACCACAA
The DNA here is from genome assembly GCF_000001405.40 of Homo sapiens. Lineage (NCBI taxonomy): Eukaryota > Metazoa > Chordata > Mammalia > Primates > Hominidae > Homo > Homo sapiens. The sequence goes on from NC_000018.10 coordinate 52,486,694, forward strand.
ATCTGCGAGTCTTATATCTGTTAATTATTGACTAAGAGAAAGCTTTATGGCAAATGGTGGGTTTCAGCTTTAATAAATAATGGGGTTGATTCTGCCCAATGACAGATGTGTGTAATTCTCATTAAAATCAGTGGCAGCTACACAAGTGAATCAAAGCAAAATGGTGTCTTTTACAGAACGTTCTGATTTTGTAAATTATTCACTATCTCTCAAACATATGAGACATATGCTATTGTTCTCTGTAGGGAACAAGAAAAACTCTTTTAGGCAGAATGTAGTTTCAAATTTTAGACTTAGAATGTGCAACTAAGAAAAGATATAAAATGTTTTTACCCACAGCCTTTAAATAAAACTGAGTTAATAATCGTTTTTGAAGATGCTTCCAGATACGGTGGAATGGGAAGTGTTGAAAATGCTTCCAATGCTGTGGACTGGGAGGGTTGGTGGATGAAGATACCTGCTTATCTCTGGATTTTGCAAATATAAGGTTAGTCTAGCAGTCTTTGCCAAACTGTGGCAACAATCAATAGTATCACAACCAGTGACTAAGAAATATAAAGGGCACCTCATTATCGTAAAACACAGATGCAACTAGAAGGGCTCAAAGTGTTGAAAATTAAGCAATGAGTTAGGAGGCTGTTAAACTGAACTCTGGTCTTTGTTCTATCATTGAGATACTCAGTACCTAGAAGTGCTTCAGTTAACACATCTATAAAATCGAGAAAATACTATCTGCTCATTTTGCCTCCCTGGGATGCTGTGATTAACAATAATGAAAAACTTGAAATAACGAAAAGCACTAAATTAATTAGAAGAATAAACGTTAGAGGAAGTAGACCGGGCACGGTGGCTCACGCCTGTAATCCCAGCACTTTAGGAGGCTGAGGCGGGTGGATTACCTGAGGTCAGGAGTTCAAGATTAGCCTGGCCAACATGGTGAAATTCCGTCTTTACTAGAAATACAAAAATTAGCCAGGTGTGCTGGTGTATGCCTGCAGTCCCAGCTACTGGGGAGGCTGAGGCATAAGGATGGTTTGAATTCATGAGGCGGAGGTTGCAATGAGTTTAGATTGTGCCGCTGCACTCCAGTCTGGGTGACAGAGTGAGACTCCACCTCAAAAAAAAAAAAAAAAAAAAAAAAAATTGGAGGAAGCACACTAATGCCCACTGTAGCAGCTCCTTGACAAATACATAAACCTAGACTCTCTGATTAACAGGATAATCGGGATGAGTCTCCTTCAAGATGTTCAATCTAATGCCTGAGATCTTTCCTAAGCCACAGATTTATGCACTAAGAAAGATGATGGCAAAGCATGTCATATGATCAATTGTTCCCATCCCAATCAAATGTTCCCTTAATTCTTGGTCAGCAATACATCTGCATAGGTTTGGGAAGAAAAAGAAAGAAGCACTTTAAAAGGAAAGAAACAAAATGATGTTTTGTGTTTATTCTTGGTTGGTTCGTTCCACCACTGTTTTGTTTTCCCAGAATTATTCCTCATTTTTTGCAGACTCTTCTTTGATTAGCTATGTTTCTTAAAATGCTCCAATAGTCTTTAATTGTCTGTAGTTCCAAATATAAATTTTAACTGGAAATTGTTGATTAAATACAATTTAATTGAAAAACCTTCCTACTTTAATGAACTTATAGCACTTGAGAAGAATGTGGAAACAACGTAACTGGGTTTTTTCCTCCAATATTAATGTGCTTGTGTATACCATTAGGATAGGATAGGATAGATCTGAGGTAGGACTGTATGATGAGGAAATAGAATATTCAGTGGATTGAGCACTTGCATTAGTGTAGGAAAATCTGCAGGTAGAAAGGAGAGAGAAAATGCATAAATGAAACTAGATCTGACCGCTGCTTTGTCATTTCTCTAGAGATCTTCTTGTGAACTGGCATTGAATTGACATTGACTGCTCTCTAATTTGTGGGACCTTCCAAGCTTATTCTAAAATGCTGTAAAAGTCTCACCCCATAGACACCAAGACTTGATTATTTAAATGCAACGTTTCAAGCTACATTGAAACCACCTGCCACATCTTGCTGTTTCTAGGCAGGAGGCATCTATAAGACTGTTTTATTAAAGCAAGATACTAGGGATCAAATAAGTTCATTGTGTTCTCTGCATGCCCTAAATGTGAAAAGAATATCCACCATAAATTTGATGTCAGAGATTTGGTTCAATATAGAGCAAATTTGGGAAGGAGGAGTTTTGCAACATAACTTCAACAAACCACCTTTCCCCGCCTCTTCCCCCTTCTTCTCTTCACTCTTTTTCTTCATCATCTTTTTTAGAGTTATGGTCCTTGTGGTATCATGATTAAAGTTTCCTGATACACACATCGATCTCCTACTCTCTGTCAACCCTTTATTAAAATGTTTCTCAAACATTAATGTGAGCACGAATCCTCTATTCAGTGTGTACTGAATCTGAAATTGCAAATTCTGATTCAGTAAGTTTGAGGTAGGAAGAGAACCTGCATGTAAACTGGCTCCTAGATGATACTGGTGCTGCTGGTCCAGGAAGCTCTCCGTAGTCAACTTTAGGAAAAGTATAGATTTAGATTCCTACCAACTTTCTGGCTACATAGTTGTCTCAAAAAGATCTGAAGGCAAAGATTCATATTTTAACCTGACCTCAGTTTTCTACAATTATTATTACACACTACAGAGGTTTTGCTGCATAATGAAGTATGATTTTGATAGTAAACCTAGAGGACTTAGAGATTGCTAAAGGCAAAATAAAACCAAACACACAGAGGGAGATAGAAATAAATGTTATATGCTGAGATCTCAAAAACGTGAGAGGTAAATCTTTCTGTTGAATTAGAAAGATTGATTCTCAGTAGCCGGTGGCTTGGAGAGGGGAAGCAATAATTTCTGGCCTTGATTCTACTCACTGCTGCCAGGAGACCTTTGCTTTGTTGCTATTTTATCCACAATGGATAGATATTTGTGTTAAGTCCCCACATTGTTTAAAATGCAAAAGATGGTGCTTCCCTCACTCTCCCCCAGGTGAAGATCAGATTTGCCTATCACTGTCCTAGACAGGACTCACAGAACATAGAAGCTTCACCTGGGAATGAAATCTCTTTCATCTGAATTTGCTGGGTTGACAAGTCTAAGACCCGACACCACTCATCACCCTGATCTGACCTCATCTGAGCCCATTATCTTTAATTTTATATGCAGCTTCTACAGTAAATATGAAGTGGAATGTTCCTCTTTTTACAAACATTTATTGTGAGTAGCATAAACATTTTGACACTGTATTATTTTATAAGTTTTCTGATGCATACAATTAGTGTAGATATAAATCAAAATGATGGCAGTCCTTCTACGGTTTTTTGAAGTTCCCAGGAGAGCTGTTGGGCTCTTTAATTGCTTACTAATGTAAAAATATCATTGTTAGTAAAGCATAAATCATGGCAATTTTGCCCCACTAGAGGCTAAAAGCAGCACAAGATGTGGTAATTAAGATATACTAATAGACCTGGCAATTTCTATAATAGGAGCTTTTAACAAGGTAGGAAAAGAATGTCATCTCTTATGCTGCAGTGAGGCAACAAATAAAATAGGAAGTTTTCCTCTTGCAAAAGAGATGACCCTGCTTAAGAAACAATAGCCAGAAAGCAGGTAAGAAAGTGTTTTTTTCTTTCTTATTCACTTGTTTTCCTAGTCACATGGCAGCTTATGAATATAACCTTAGGGTGAGAATTAGCTTTGTAAATTTTAAAGATGAGAAGGATCTTTGGAACCTACTTTCTTTGTTTTCATGACGGGGAAACTGAGACTAAGACAAATAAAATAGCTGGTTTTAACTAATTGGGAGCAGAGCTGGGACTAGAAACCAGGCACTTGCTTCCCCGTGAAGGGCGCTTTCTGTTTTGTTAGCTTTGTATGTCACCAAAGACCTTCAAACGTTTTCAAATCTTGAATATTCTTTTTCCTATTTTGTAGTCCCCCTCCTTTTTCTGTGATGTTTGGTGTATCTCCTTTGAAGAATCCTTGAAGTTGGGCATCATTGGTAACATTTGGATTGCATAGTAGGAAATTATTTGTTTTGGGGTATTAGGGACAGCAAAGACCCCACCTCTTGTGAGGGATAAGAAAAAGAATATGTCTCCAGACCAATGCTAAAGCTTACCTATGGCTTCTAAAGTGAAACAAGAGTCTGTGTTAAAATAAGGAGTTGTGCTTTTCAGACACGATGTTCAGGAGCTGTATGCAACAACAAAAACAATCAATTTCTTCTTTGACACAGGTTTAAACCCAATTAGCATTAATTAGAAGTAAATACACACAGAAGGGGGGCCCACATTGCAAAGGCAAGCAACTTCAGTTCCATTTAACACCTCTTCACTCTTATATGGAGCCTTCCATCAAAGGCTTTCAAGATGTTTTCAGACCTAGAATGTTCTTTTCTTATTTTACTAAGTTTTTTCCTCTTTTCTCTTTATCTTACCCCATTTATTCATTGATCCATTAAGCTAGAACACCTGCAATATGTTGTATGTCATGCTCTCTACTAGGTAATAGGGATAGAAGATGATCAAAACCTCTATTTTATCCTCCCTGATGGAATTTGCAGTCTAATGGAGGAGAAATACAGGAATCAAACATGCAAACAAACACATATATAATTGCAAACTGTGGTATGATACATAAAAGTAAAGTTGGTTGCTTAATTTTTTATGGGGTGACCTGGACATAATATGTGAGCTAGGGAAGAATTATCTTAGGAGATAGGGAGAAGAGCATGTGAAAAGTGTGAGTGATTGGCAAGGTCAGTATGTTTATTTTATTTTTCAAAATAAAAAGTTTTTAAAAAATAGATTTCTCCAGATACTCCCAGAGAATGCATTATCATGGCGTAAGCCCAGAGAGCATTGAAGAAGGCATTTCAATAGTGCTGGTGAAAGAGGGTAGTGGCCAGAATTTTGGTGGTGACAATGAAGACAGAAAAATGGAGGGAGAGGAGATGTATTTTGTAGATACAATTGATTGGACTTAGCTGAAACATTTGATGTATGCAATATGGGAGAAGGGAAACTCACGAATGCTTAGGAAGTTTACTTGAGTAGCTGGTTTGTTTACAACGTTGATGTGTATTAATTTAAGGATGGCCAGGGAAGATTGGGTTAGTGGAAACTGGGATGTTTGGGGTGTATCTGAGGTACATAGGTGATGATTCCTGTCTGGAGCGCAGAGGAGTGGTCTTCTAGGGGTGGTGTGACATAAATTGGATAATAGGATATGATGAGACAAAAAATATGTGTCCCTAATACCATGTCCTGGGGAAATCAGTGATTAGATGTTAGGGGAAATATCAAGGGCCACGGATATAGCATGAAGACCAGGAAAGAACCGTCGTTTACTTCAAGGGGGGAAGTAATTTCACAAATGAGAGGGTGGTGAAATATATAAATATTTCTGAGAGTTTGAGTAGGAAATTTGCATTCATTAGATTTAGCAACACAACATCTTGATTGCCTTGATAAGAAACTTGGGGGGTAGTGGGACTGGTGAACATTTGAGAGAAGACATTAAGTAGACGATTCTCGAGAAGGAAACAGGGAAAGATAGTCACAACTGGAGATAGATGTAGAATTAAAATAGTTATTTTAAGAAAACCAGGGTACTCTACAATATTGATAAGAGTGGTCAACGAAGGTGTGGGAGACATGATGGAGAGATAAGATCACTAAAGGAACAAGGTTCTTGAGAGAAAAAGATGAGATGTGGAGTGAGTGGCCTTAAATAGAAGCAGGGGTGGTTTCTTCATTGAGACAGGAGAAAGAAGAAGGATGTTTTTGCAGGTAGGTGTGAGTTTTGTTGGTTGGAAGATGAAATGATTTGAGTTTCATGATTTCTCCTTGCTGAAGTGTGAAAGGAACTATAAGAAAAATAGGGAAGTGGATATGGGGCAAGTTTAATAGGAAGAAAAAAAAAGACATAATACTTTGCCATAAGAACTGAGCAACTGAGACTTCCCCAACACGAAAGCTGTGTTGCCCCGCAGTGTGTGTGATTTTTCTCCAGAAATGTTCAGCTACTCAGGTGAGACTCATTAACGAAGGTACAAGGTAGAGTATGTACACCCAGGATTTGGCTTTTGCCAGACATGGATTTCTGTAAAAGAAGAGAGGAGCATGACAGTTGATGGTATTTGCAAAGTTGTTACTATGATAGCCAATCATATGATAGCGGGCAGTCAGGGTTCACTTAAGACCATAATGTGAAGGGGCATGTTGAGATAAAGTTGAAGACATAGGCTCATTTGCTGCCTATCCAGTGGCAATTGCAGAGCATGCAGAAGAGGGTGTGAAAGAGGAAAAGAAAGGATGCAGATATACATAAATGTGTCAGATTAGAAGATAAACCAAACCATAGGGAATGGCCAAGGAAAGTATGACTTCCAGCAAATGGCTGAGATACACAAAAATCCTGATGGGTGTTTGGAGAAAAGGATGTGTACATTTTCCAGGGAGTGATAGAAATTCCAGAATGGCTGCTCCTCCCAGACTTCAGGGCTAGCACCTTACATTTACATGAGCTCACAGGAAGATTAGAGGATTGACTCTGGCAAGTAACATGACCAGAGTCAAAGAAGTCTGCAGGACGGTTGTTTTGTAAACTCATCTTTTTTTCAATAAAAAGCACTAGTCCACAAAATACAAGAAAAATTAAAAAACCCAAAGAAACAATTGAATTCTCTTTTCTAGATTGGCTTATATTCCTGGAAACTCTTCAAACAGAAAAGTGAAAGTTCTGATATTATTATAATCGTAATAGTTTATGTTGGCAATATTTGCATGGTGAATCATTTTCAATCCTCAAAATGCCCAGGTTTCTGTGTCCTTAATGTTATATTGGGGTTCATATATATTATTTTATTTGTTTTCTATTTGCCTCAATGATTTCAGTGCTCCCATTTCATTTCATACCTTTTTAAAATTAATCATTTTATAACTTCGAGTTTTCTCCCTATTAACTTGTTAGTGACCGATTAATTTATGATTTTTTGTGGATACCTTAGAGATATTAACATGGGACTTTGATTTATTACAATCACATTGAAATTATTACTGTCAGTAATGGTAGAATCTGAGAATACTTTACTGCATTTACCCTTTTTTGTCCTCTGATATGTGTTATGTACTTTAATTCTAAATATACTTTAAAGGCCATAAAACACTAATTTCCCTTGAAATATAATCACATATTTATTCTTTCTGTTTCTCATCATTCCATCTGGCATTTTCTTGTTTCCTTCTGCTTAAAGAACTGTTTTTAGAATTTCCTTCAGTGCAGGTTTGTTAATGACAAATTCTCTTGCTTTCTGTTTTTGTTAAAATGGGTTATTTTGCCTTCACTTTTGATGGCTATTTTTGCTGGGTATAGAATTCTAAGTTGGAATTTATTTTCTTTGATTTTCCTCATTTCTGTTGAGAGGTCAACTATTATTTCTCCTTTGAGAAAAATGCCTGTTTTCTCTGTTTTTAATATGGTTTTCTTGGTTTTAGATTTTAGCAGTTTGATTATGATATGGTATGGTTTGTGATGTGTGTGTGTGTGTGTGTGTGTGTGTGTCTGTGCCTGTGTGCATAGGTGTGTGTTGGTGTTTATCTTGCCTGGAGTTCACTTAGATTCTCGGATGTGAGAGTTGATGTCATTAATCAGTTTGGAAAGTCCTCAGCCATTATGTCTTCAAAGATTGCTTTTGCCTCATTTTCTTTCTCCTAATAGTATTCCAATTACCTGTATATTAGATATTTATACTGTATTCCAACATCTTTTATGTACTTTCCGATATTTTTCATTTTCAATTAATGACTGGGCTTTTTTATTGACTTCCTTCATTTTACTAATCCTGTTTTATGCAATGTCTAATTGTCTGATAAGCTTATATATTATGTTCTTAATATTAGTTATTATGTTTTAGAGCTTCAGCATTTTCATTGGATTCTTTTTATAAATTCCAGTTCTATGATGAAATTATTCATTCTTTGCATCTGTTTGCTCCAGCTTGCTTTTCTTGTATGTATTTGATAAACTCTTCGTCTTCTAATTAAAATACCTGGCTCACTGTGGATCTATTTGTGTTTGTGTTGTTTTTATTTTAAAAATTGCATGTTAGTAATATTATCCTGTATCTTGTCACACCTAGTAATTTTTTTATTGAATTTATTTACTATGTATAAAAATTTAGATTATTGAGCATCCACTGTCTTCCTTCACTCTTTTCTCTACTAGGAAGATAAAGTGGGAGCTCACTAATTTAACCCAATAAGGGACTGAGCTGAATCAAGGCTGGATTATATTTCTCTCATTCACCTTTGTTTCTAGGATGGAGTCCTCAATGGCTTTCAACCAAGAGCCTACTAAGATCAACTGGGCCCCTCCCCTGATGGGTCTCACACTTTAATCCTTGTCTCCGTCACCAAAGGACTGTCAGAAAACTCCATTCTGCTTCTCAGAGGCTTTGTAATTAGCTTTTTATCCTCTCGTGTAGCTTCAGAATCTGGCATGTGTGTTGAGAAAACTGGCAGTATTTGGTTTTCATTTCCCTCTTTTAAGTGGGATCCTGACAGTTCAAGTCTTCGTTTTTGTCTCTGCAGGGCCACAAAAATATTTCTTCTTGTTTCTCTATCCCCACCCATAGTCTCTGCCCAAGTGAAGGTTGGATTCTTAAGTTCATTTCATGCACCAAGAATTGTCAAATGCCCCAAGAGAGAAGTTTCTTTAGAATATCACCCCAGCTTTATGAAGTTCTTCCTTTCTCTGAAATCTTCACCCCTTAGTTCTCACTGCTTCAGCAAAAATCTGATGTCTTTAAGCAAATTTTGGCAAGTACTTCCTACTTTTCTAGTTCATCTTGGCAGAAACCATGGTTTGCTATATAGGCTACTCCATCTTGCCCGAAACAGCAGAAATTTCAAACAATGTCATTTTACAAAGTAAATCATCTTAAGGGTGTTTGTCTTTCAATTGAGTGAGCTTGAGAAGCTGTAAAGGCTTTGAATTCTGGCTGCATTTTTTATTTATTTTATTTTTTTATTTATGTATTTTTTTTTTTTAGCAATTTGGAGTGTTGTGATGCATTGTTCTGAGACAATATTATTAGCAGCTAAGAATGGTGGCTTTGACATCAGGGAATTCTAACCCTGGCTGTCCGATGCAATCTTGGCCAAAGAATTAGATCTCTGTAGACTTCATTTTTACCATCTATCAAATGGGGAAGAAAACCCTGCTTTCTATGTTTATAAGGAGGATTAGATGATCAAATATTTATTGATTACTTACTTTAGCTATACTAAATGCCTTACATATATTATCTAATTTTAATATGCTATGTACCATAGTACACACTAAGGATTCAGTAAGGGATAGCAGTGTTATTACTTATCCTGATTACAAACCACACCCTATTTTGGCTTCAGGTAAAATCACGAATCCCCCCATGGTTCATTTCTCATCCCCTGCCCTTTTAACTACAGAATATCGACAAGGTAAATACAGGCCAAAGATAATTTTTTAGCTTATAATATTCATATTCATATTTTTGTGCTGCAGTTAGCAATCAAGAGTATGTACATCAATAAAAACAACAAAAATAAAGCTTAATTATTAATAACCATGAGCATCGGGACAATGTAGAAATATGAAACATGTTTTCCCATGTACTTTTAAAAATAGCATAGCTAGTTTTATATGTGGGTTGAATATAGTCAAAACATCAGAAAAGTTATTCAGGATAAAGCCTTAAAATGCCAGGTTTTACTTTTTGGTGAAAATGACATGTTGGACTGCTGCCTGATGAATTTAAACCTAGACAGTTGCACATTTGTAGTTCACAAGTTGGGGAGCCTGTAGCTTTGGGTCTCAGTAGCTCCTGGGGTAGTATTTGCACTTCATTTCTGGCCCTGTATATCTGATTTGATGACATCTGTTAAGGAGACAGTGGAGGGAAGACATGCATATGAAATTTCAGTGAACACAGCCTGCATTTCAATGATCTGAGGCTGCTGTTACCTTGTCATTTATTTTGTAGCCTTTGGGGCTTTGACAGGCAATACCCAATCTGTTTCTCATCAGTTTAAATCTCAATATTTACTTTTAGATGTTTTATTTTAAAATCTTTAAAAAATAGAAGATTGTGCTTGTCCATATCATACAGAATTTGCTTCTTTCACATGAAAAAAAACAGATTTGAATAGAATATAATCAAGGAGAAAAGAGCCACTTTACATATAATGAAAAAAATTATGACCAGGCATGGTGGTTCACACCTGTAAATCACAGCACTTTGGGAAGTTAAGGCAGGAGGGTCCCTCAAGCCCAGAAGTTCAAGACCAGCCTGGACAACATGACAAGACTTCATCCCTTACAGAAAATTAAAAAAAAATAATTAGCCGGGCCTGGTGGTGCACATCTGTAGTCCCACATATTCAGGAAGCTGAGGCAGGAGGAGCTCTTGAGCCCAGGAATTTGAGGCTGCAGTTAACTATGATGGCGCCACTGCTCTCCAGCCTGGGTAACAGAGTGAGACCCTGTATCAAAAAAAAAAAAAAAAAAAAATATATATATATATATATATATATATATATATATACACACACACATATATATACACACGTATGCATATATATATACACACATATACATATGTGTATATATGTATACACACATATACATATGTGTATATATGTATACACACATATACACATACATATAAAGAGGAACAACATAAGTTTTTTTAAAAAAGCAGAACTATTAACAAACTATGAATGCTAGTTTTGCTTGATATAGTTTTCTTTCCACAATGGTTTGCAATTGCCAACACCTAAACTGGAGGATCTTTTTCTTTTTTATTCTAACCATCCCCTAACAAGTGATTTTTAAATTTTAGGATGAATCCCAAGAGAATTGCTATTAGTAGTAGGTGCTGCTTATGTAATCGACAAGATCATTAAGGCAGATATTCTTCTAAATGAAAGTCTAGATCTTATATAACATGGATCTTGATATCTCCCTCATCAAGGGGTGGTCTATACACAGTAGCAGCAGCATCACCACGGGGAGCTTGATAGAAATGCACAATCAAAAACTCCAACCCAGATATAAGGCAGCAGAATCTGCATTGTAACAAGATCTCCAGGTGATCCCTATGCACATGAAGTTTTGAGAAGCTTGCCAGACTAGAACAGGGATTGACATATTTTTGCTACAGAGGGTCAGATAGTAAACATTTTAGGTTTTATAGGCTATTCAGTCTATCTTGCAATTACTCAGCTTTATTGTGCAAACAGCACCAGAGACAATACAAAAAGGAATAAGTGTGGCTGTGCTATAATAAAACTTCACTTATGGACATTGACATTTGAATTTTGTATAATTTTTACCTGTCACAAAATGTTCTTCTTTTTTTCCCCAATTATTTAAAAATGTAAAATCCATTCTTAACTCAAAGGCCACACAAGAACAGGTGGTGGGCCAGACCTAGTTTGCTGACTCCTAATCAAGATTCTATCATTTTCTTGACCTTGACCTTTCTTGGGTTGCCCTTGGTGCTTGTCTTAGGCTGCTTGGGCTGCCATAAGAAAATACCACAGACTCAGTGACTAAAATGATGGATACTGGCCAGGCACAGTGGCTCATGGCTGTAATCCCAGCACTTTGGGGGGCCAAGGTGGGTGGATCACTTGAGGTCATGAGTTTGAGACCAGCCTGGCCAACATGGTGAATACCTGTCTCTACTAAAAATACAAAAATTAGCCGTGCATGGTGGCAGGAGCCTGTAATCCCAGTTACTCAGGAGGCTGAGGTAGGAGAATCACTTGAGCCCAGGAGGCAGAAGTTGCAGTGAGCCGAGATCATGCCACTGCACTCCAGCCTGGGACACAGAGCGAGACTCTGTCTCAAAAAAACAAAAAATAACATATAATAAAATAAAATAATGAATATATATTTTTTCTCAGAGTTTTAGAGACCAGTAAGTCTCATATTCAGGTGCCAGCACAGTCTGGTTCTGATTTCTTTTCCTGGCTTGAAAAGGCTGGCTTCTTGCTGTGTCCTCACAGGATATAGAAAGAAACCTCTGATGTCTCTTCCTCTTGTAATAAGGCCACCAGATTTATAGGATTAGAGACCCACTCTCATGACCTTATTTAACCTTAATTACTTACTTTACTTATGTAAGGACCTTATCTCCTGTTACCTTGAGAATTAGGGCTTTAATATGTGAACTGGAGGGTGAGGAGGCACAGCGCAGTCCATAGCAGTGCCCACATCTTCTCTCTGACATCTTCTCTGACCGTACCACCCGGAATCATTTTCCTGTCCATGATGTCCCATTGTCACTGTTAACTGCCTGTCATCTTTGCTGCTTAAATTTGGCCTTATACATTTATGACAGCACATTCTGTTCCTTCAAAGAAACTGCAAGCTCCCTGAATGCAGATGGTGCTGATCAAGGATCTAGTGACAAGTTCAAATGACTGCGTTGAGCTTAGAAGTTAATGATTGACTGATAGCAATGACGCAGCCTGACTTTTTCTGCTCTTGAGTCTCCCAGTTTGTTAAATGATTACAGGATCCTTATGCATCCTTTTGGGCTATTTTCTCATCTCTAAAATGGGGGAAATGTGGATGTGAAGATACATCCAGCTTCTCTACGGAGGGATGAAAATTACCTATTAGCGGCCTGTTTTGAAGAGCCAGTCCTCTGTAGTATCAGGCACTTAGAAGTGGCAGCCTTATCTTCACTATTTCATCTACTTTTTGGATGCAATAAGACCAACTATTTCATTTCCTGATCTTCTGATGGAGTGTCCTTTCTTCCCTTCCATATGCTTTCTCCCATCATATTTCTATTTGGCAGCCATCATTAACATGAGGTCCTTGCTTAACAAAGACCTTTCAGTGCATTTTATTTACCTTTAATGTTTCAACATTATTCACTATCCATCTTAAATATGAGGTCACTGTGAGTTGATTCCCTAGAGAGCCATTCTATTATTCCTCCCTTCTGTATATTTTCTAGTGTTTTTCCTAGTCCCTTTTTAATGACTACCCACACAGAGCTTCCTTCATTTGCTGTGGAAATGTTTGCACTAGTGACTCATGGTGCAAACAGATGGGGACTCGGGTAAGGTCCTCATAAATCATTCTCAAGGATTATCTATGTCACAATCACAATTTAAAGCTTTAGGAGAGACTGAATGAATTAGGGATAAATCCTATATATCATCTCATATGCTTTGCAGGCCGTTGGCTGAAATCAGCACGGATTAACACCTTTCCCAGCCTCCATTCTTCTATAGTCTTAATATTTTTAGCTAGGACCAGGGTCCCTGATTTTATTACAGTTTTAGACATACAGTGCTGTTCTGGAAACGTTATTTTCACTAGTTTTTTTTTTTTTGCTCACACCAAGGAGAAATGCAGGTGACAGGACACAAGTGTTCTTGATGTGTTACAAACATTTGCCACAAACTGGTTGCACCCTATATTTCCTGGTTGAAGTGAGCTCTTGTCAAATGCCTGCAAACAATGCACCTCAAGTCAGGGGAGCAAGGACGCGTGTAAAGGATTCATGAATGGCAAATGAAGACTGAACAGAAACACTTTGAGCAGAGCTGTTGATTAGCATCCTGAAAGAGTGATCTCTTAGGGAGGAATTCACCTCTTGATATTTCATTGACTCTGGACTTATCATGTGTGGAATCAGGCAGTCCTGTAGGATTTAATTTGGAATAAGTGAAAAAGAAACAATTAGAACCATTGTAATACTTGTTGCAGGGAATGCCAAACAAGCTTCCTTTGTTGTACAATTATTTTGGCGCTAATAAGTATGTCTTTATGCCCTCTAGATTGGTGTCTTGGATATTTCTCTCCCTACCTTGTCTTTCCGTGTAAAAACTTTAGATGAATACAATTTTCTATTAAAAATTAACTTGTATCATTTGAAATTAGCATACATTAACATTTCTTTAAAACTAGAGCTCTGCAAAGCTTTTTCATAATGTCTCTCTCATGAGTGTGAAATGATTTTTGATTTTTTTTTAATCCAGCTGCAAGGAGAGAGGATAACAACATTTCTGCATTTCTGAGTTGTGTGACTTAGCCTTTTTGATTCTTAATTTCCTCAGCTGCAAAATGGGGATAAAATATTTACTCCCTAAGGTATTGAAATCCTTAAGCAATGTACACAAAGCATTTGACCAAGTAATTGACACGTGGACATATAAGATGGTCAATATTTTTTCTTTGTTATTATTTTGAATATTTGAAGTATGCACATTAAAATTATAGTAGTATCCACTGGTTATAAAATGCCACAGATTCCCTCAAATAACTGCGTAACATTGAGAGGAAGGAAAAAATCATCTCTTAGTGAGAGCATCTTTATTTGAAATCTTCGCACGTTGGTAATTTTATATTAGAGATTTTGCTCATCAGTTTCTGTACAGCCAAGTGCATGGCTTTACACGTTGCTGCTGAAATGATAAGCAACAGCCGTCTTATTCCTAAAGACTCTCAGCACAATTTTATTAAAGATGGAGCAGGTATCTGGCACAGAATTGGAGTATAGTAAATCGTGCAACAAATGGTATGCCAGAATCAATTTACTGCAGGCCCCCAATACAGTCGCTTTCTCCTTACCAGTTTCCAGCATAAATCTCTGTGCACACCTTATATGAATGTATCACAAGTAGCTGAATGCCTTTACGTTGTCTCTCTAAGCAGAAGTTTATGCCATAAAGGTAATGTGAAAAATAGAGAATAACTATCAAGTTTCAGTCTTCCTGAATTGTATTCAGGGAAGGGGGGAGAAGAGGGAATCACAGGATATCAGTGTTGGGTCAGTGCTTGGTGATTGCTGCTGACTTTTCACCGATGAGGAAACTGTATCACAGAGTACGGAAGTGGCATGTTGGAGAACGCTACCTGAGAATGAAAGAGTCAGAATTTAAGCCCATGTCGGTCACCTCTGAGGTCCCTTTCTCTTTTCTGTATAATATATTGCTGTCAAAATTTCTGAGTGGATATTTTTTCTAATTAGTTGTTGCTTAGGGCACATATACTTTCTTCTCCTGGAGCATGTGATAGAAAACAGACTAAGGTATCTTCATCTACTATGTGCCATTTGCTTTGGATGCAGTTTCTCATTATCTGTGGGCAGTCTCTGGTATCCTGATTACACGGATAGTGCAGTTAAAAATTAAAAATGTTAATTCTGTCTCTCCAGGGCCCACAGTTCGTAAATGAGAAGGGGGCTTAAAACTTGTCTCAGATCCACTGATTCTTGGGGTAAAGTTAATGGATAAATAGAAGTTCTAAATATGAGAAACTGTGAAATCCTGCCTTCCAGCTCTGCATTTGCATGCATGATTAAAAGACACAGCACCTCAGAAACTTGAATTTGTACTTCATATTGTATATAAGTTTGTATTATAGATATATATTCCAATGGATAACTTGGTTCTAAGCCTTTTTGTTTTGGTAAATTAGAATTAAAGAAATTATAAACTAGAAGAGGAATAATGCAGTAAATAAAGAAAAAAATGTTCAATCCACCTCTGCAGGGACAAGAATATTGACTATATCTCAAAGGTTATGAGTTATAAATAAGAACATGTTAATTATTTCTGTTTCCTTGGGGTGGATGTTCATTTCTACCAGCCTTTCCTACGAAACTATGCATCTTCAAATATCTTTGATTCTCGACACTATTTAACATTTTTTCCAAATATGCACATTTTCAGGAAAGATACTGGGTGATATCCTTGCCTGTTGGGTGGGACTCTATTTTAGATTTTCTGATTGTTATAATGATAAGATATACTGGGCCACTGAACATCTAGAATTGATCCTTCCATCCATTACACAGGAGTAAAGGATATTGTATCATGCCTATAGAAATAGCAGGGTTGCAAATAGCCAATCCATTGCTGGTTCCAATTTGGAAGCTGACAAATACTTACTTTATTGCCCTGCCACATGCGAAGTCTATCTTTCTGCCTACACAGCACAAGTCAGTAACCTACATAATTCTTCCAGGATATTCTAAAAGCCCCGAGGCGGGAGTTCATACTCTGTATATTTGGCATTTGGAATCTCATATGGAAGTGCATTCAGTGACATCGTGGGAGAATTTCCAAATATACCAAAACATTTATTTTGCAGTTCTTCCTATTTGCATTATTTAATTTGTGCTGTCTTGCTAATATTTGCCTTTGTCATATATTTGTCATATTATACATTTGCCATTTAAAAATTTGACGCAGCAGTACAAACGTATTTAAGCTGCCGTGCTGCTCAGAAGGGCCTATTATATATCAGGAGTCTGAAGAGTCAAATCAAATCACAGAGGATCTACTTTTATACTCTTACTTATTTTACTGAGGTTTTTCAACATAAACAACCACAGCAACATCTTAAAGTCATATATATCTCTTTGATTCCAAAGTGAAATACTCCATTCATAAGACAATGAGGAGAAAAAGAGAATTAGAAGCCGAATGACTATACAAGTCACTGTTAAACTAGGACACTCTCGAGAGTAAAAGGGAGCTAGTAGTCATCACACTGCATGTGTTTTATGCAAACTGGGACTCAGAGTTACCCTTGTTAAAGATGTGTTATATTGCTGATCTGAACTGAGTTCTCAAAAAGAAGCCCAAGCAAAGTAGTCTATTTGTTGTGCTAAATCTAAGCCCCTCCCTACTCAAAAATCCCTGAAATACAATATATTTATACATAGATAAGTATACGTTTACCTATGAAAAAATATACAGTAGGAAAAGCATGCGATTGTGCTCAGAGTTTATGTTCCTGAGTTCAGCATATTTTGTGTTCTCCGTAGTTCTGGTGACAGAATTCTCTCCTTGTTCCAGTCTGCTGAGATGACCATGGGTCCATCTCTTCTTGGCCTTGTCACTGCCCCATGGTAACATCTTCTGAGGTGGTCTCATGCTCATCTGAATCTTAACTAGCCAGTCCATTCCTCTTGATTGCAGGGTCCTCCATTATAACCAAGAGAACCCTCTTGTTTCACCCAGGTTGGGTGTCTCATTTCTGTCACTTATGGTCACTTGAAGAAGATATTTGGCTGCTTCCTGAGCCCTGATGGGGTATTCAGCCTACTCAGGGAAACAGTGTTAGATGCATCTACCCAACCATCCTACACAGGTGACTCTACTGCACCCTTCTCTGCCATGGGGAAATAGAGAACTCTTTAGGGGTATGTATGCCATAAATGCTTCAAGTGGGAAGCAGAATAAAAACACCCTCTACTCTCAACCTTATAAACATAAATGGAGCATTTCTGCCAGTAAGATCCCACCACTCTTTTCAGTCTTAGAGATACTAACCAGGATCTCACTGACCCTTCTTTCCCACCCCTTCCAGCTTCCCGTTCAAAGAGGATGCGTTGGGGAGGGGGGCTGGTACGGGTGATTGCTGGGTAGCCTGGATCATGTATTCTCTTAATACTCTACTCTATATCTGTATCATGGTCTTCCCCCACCAATAAAAGCCAAGACTTTGACAGATGTATTCTCTGGTTCTACTTTTAGCATCATGGAGGCCTTGAGTCTGGCAGTGTCAATGGGAGAAGGTCACAGCAAAGTAAAAGGATGGGGATGACAGGGAACATACTGGTAACTAGTGACTGGCTAGTACTTCCTGTCCTTCTACCCCTCTGAGTTTCTTGAGGGAGCAGGAAGCAAGTTCGTTCAGCTTTGAATGAAAGCTCGCAGCTCACAAAAGACTGAACAAGCTAGGGCCTCCTTAGACTGATGTTAAACACAAGTAAAGCACAGTGGCTGTGGGGTCTTTCCTTAGAGTCATATTGGCTTGGTTGGGATCCCTGGCCCCTGCCAGCTTGGGGTGACTGTATTTTATAGGTCAAAATCTATTGGAAGATAGAGCAAAATGAATTAAGTGATAGTCAGAAGTGGGATATCTCAAAATTATGAAAAGTTTATCTGCTCGGGTGTTACCACACTCTCTCCTCCTGCTTCCCCCCTCAACTTCTTCCTATGCTCTACCTTTGTGCCGCCCCTCCCCCCGGCCACCTCAGTGTAAAAGCCACCAACCTCAGCCTGCTTCTCCAGCTCTCACAACTTAAATCCCACGCACTGTCTACAGCAATCCGACAATTCTGGTTTTGGAAAGACCATCAATGTCTGTCTTGACATACAGTGAGCACCCTATTAATACCTACTGAATCTCTCTCAACCTTTTTGTATATTTCAAAAAACATTTGAAATGATCCTAGAAAAGCTCAGAATAAAGCAGTCCTAATTGTTTTTCTTTCTAAAGACACAGCTGAAAGCCTCAAGAGTTTTTACAGAGCACCTATTAATTTCAGGGCAATTAGAAGGGAGGGGAAAGATCAGAGAACGTATCAACTTGCTGTAAGAGGCAAACCTGTGCAAATTAAGTTTGTCGAAATTATCAGCAAACAGTTGGTTTCTGTCTGCCCCTAACTGGATTTCAGCAGCATTTTATTCAGTTTCCACCTCAGTATTTTCATCTAATGCTCTGTGCTTTTCAAATAATATTCATGTATAATTTTATTTTTAGAAAATCCCATGAGTTAATGAAGATGATTCCTATTTCCACAATTTTGATCTCAAGGAAACTAAGACAGAGAGAAGGTAATGGAATTGCCCAGTTTACATGGCTACAGAATAGTTAAGATTTCAACACAGTTCTTCTCCCTTGGTCTCTGATTCTTCTCTAACACATTTAATTTTTAGAACAAAATATGTATTTAAAGAAAATATTGAATCTTCGCTAAACGGCACAAAAGAAGTTATATATATATACACACATACAATATCAGAGGAATTTAGATTATTTAATCACTTTCTAATTGCTAGAGCAATCAAAAAATTGTTGACATCATAATTAAAGAAAACTGGTAGAATCTGCCCTTTTCTTTAAGTCCACACCATCTGAGAATTGAGTTAAAGTTGAAAAATTCCAAGACTCCTATTTTGCCTATCTTGTGGACACATTACTTGTCATAGGAGGGGTTTACTTGAAAATTAAAATTGTAAAAATAATAAAATGAAAATTAGAAGAATGGCTGCCCCTCATGGGCACATCTGATTCTGTCAGAATAGCATTGTTTTTTTCAAAGAAATTCTGAAACAGCTGTAATATTTTTGAAATACTTGTTAGTGCATATCAGTTGTGCTAAAAAAGGTCGTTTATAAAAATCTGCAAATTTTATGGAAATATTTCCTTTGGTTGTGAGAAAACACATTTCCACATGTCACCATGTTCACAGAGCTGGCTGACAGGGTTAAGAAAAGTGTGAATTTATTAATGTGATCATAGCATCATCCTTCTATATTACCTATGCCATGCCAAATTCCCATAGGAAAAGTATTAGGGTAATAGTTGTCTTCCTCTTTGTTTTACAGCTGGATATTTTAATTTTCTATAATTATAATTTGGTGTGTAAATTATTTGCATAATCCTATACTATGTCATACATTTTTAAAAGACTTATTGACAAGCTAAAATTTGGAAATATCAGCTATAATAGAATACCTTTTTAATGTTCACGATTCAATATAAAATCCTTCATGTGAAGCATATGATTTATAATCTATTAGATTTTTTAAAACTATTTAAGGTTGACCTGTGAAAACCCATATAAACACAATTTATGATATAATAGGGTTTAGCTGGATGGAATACAGTAATAAATAAAAGGTACACAAACACCGTTTAAAATGCATATCCATATAAATGGTTAGGTTGTGTTATGATATTGTCTTTGTAGATTCTGGTTGTATGTGCTCAGGACAAATAAAGCAATATCTATTGTCTGATAAAAGAAAATTATTAAACCAAAGGTATTTGCCTATGTTACTTCAATCTGAGTCACTATGATTAATGTTATATGATATTTTTCTTTAAAAATCTATTTTTATGTCTATAAATCCTCTCTTTCCCCACTCTGGAAATAGTGTCTTTCTACCAAGAAATAAATATTCAGCATTGCTGTTAATGAAACCATGATTACTGATTATTGTTATTTTATCATCTCTACTGTCACTGCTGGTCATAGATATAATTATTTCTTCATTTCAGTAAAATGTTTGAAGAATAATTTTAGCAATGTAGTATATGGGGAATTTAAAGTGACAGTTGTTACGGATATTGTGTATCATTGATAGTTGTAGCATTGATATTTTAAATAATCGTATTTAAAGTTCAAATTGGTGATGGATTCTATTGATTAAAGGCAGAAAAGTGAACCTTAAAAAAGTTTCTAAAAGAGAGCTTTGGAATGAATCCAAAGATGATATATTGCAAAATGCAAAATGGGCACCAAATAGTTAAAAAAAGACTAAGAAAATGAGGCTGTTTGCTAACTCAAGATAAGATGCTAATCCTTTATAGCCTAATAGGAATCTCATATCCTCCCCTATGAGTCTTATTCTCTGTTGAGCTTTAGTATTTGGTTCCCCCTTGTTATTATTATTAATGTGAGCCAATCAGGTTGAACTAATTAATTTCTGTCAAATGAATCAAAGTCTGGTGAACAGGACTAAGATGTTATTTTTTCTAATCATTTCAAATTTCTCCGAGTCAAATATATTAACACAGTGCTTGTAAGTGTATTAGTATAAAACTGATTGCACTGAAGGTTGATGTATAAAAAGCTTTGACCAGGAAGAGATTAAGCATTTGCATTCTTAATATGTAAATCATAGATAAAAGATGGAATAGTAAAATGGCTAAAACTAAATCAGAGATAGTCCTGTAAGAAAACTTCCAAAGAAACAGCAGTTTCTTTTGCTGAATTCAACAATTAACCTGTTCTTTGCCAAACTGTACATTTACATGAGAAGTAAAATATTGTATCTCCTGTGTTCCCAGCATGAGCCACAAAAGTGAAGCCAGTCCAAGAAGTGTCTCTTTTGTCCATCAATGTGTCCCCAGCTAAACCTTTTCTTTTGCTTTCTCAAATAGATCAAAATCTACCATTTCTAGAGTGATTGAATCCTCAGAGCATCTTTTGGTATCAAACCGTTTTTTCTTTTTTTCTGGTTTCCCTCTGCTATTAGAAAATACAATAATAATTTCAGGCCAGGCACAGTGGCTTATACCTGTAATCCCAGCTCTTTGGGAGGCCGAGGCAGGTGGATCACCTGAGGTCAGGAGTTCAAGACCAGCCTGACCAATATGGTGAAACCCCGTCTCTACTAAAAATACAAAAATTAGCCGTGCATGGTGGCAGGCACCTGTAGTCCAAGCTACTTAGGAGGCTGAGACAGGAGAATTACTTGAACCTGGAAGCGGAGGTTGCAGTGAGCTGAGTTTGAGCCACTGCACTCCAGCCTGGGTGACAGAGCAAGACTCTGTCTCAAAAAAAAAAAATTATTATTATTATTTCATCCTAATCTACGGGGACCAGTATTTATAAATGACCCTCTTCAATTAGAGAAGAAAGATGTCTGCTTTTCTGTTATGTCTCATTCTGCTTAGGGCAGTATTTCACCTACTAACAGTTTGTGCTCAGTTGAGGATCTCCTTGTTTTAGTGTAGTTATAGATGTATTGGGTGGAGTAGAGAATCATCTTTATACATTTTATCATTAATACAAACATACCTAATTCTCCACAAAAGCTGAGAAGGTTCAGAGTTCCAGTCTAAAGAAAGAAAAATAAATTCTTTCTATAGATACATATAATTTCAGATTACACAGCATGCCTTTATATTAAACAGATGTTGAACCACACCTATAATATTATTTTCAAATTTTATCACTGAGCCACATAAAAGATATGAAAAAAGCTGGAGAAGTTTCAGAGAACAGTAACTCAATTGATTGGGGCTGTAAAGTAATTCCACACAGCATTGACTTTAAAAGATTGGGGATTTATATTCAGGAAGTGTTCAGATTTAGAAATGATATCATTGAAAACTTTGAAAGCATTCCTAAAGAGGAGAAAAAGTTACTTAATCCCAGAATACTAGTGCAGGAAATTTCTTCTTAAAGTTTGAGAGGAGAAATATTCAAACAAATAAGATTCTACTCTACACATAAGTTATAAAAGAGATGTAACAAGGCAGTGTTCTGATTTACACAATTTACAGATGAAAAAAGGCTATAAGAGGGAAGAAGATGATGACAGAGTTCACATGTTGCTTGAGCAGAGATGCAGCCTAGATTTGCACTGCCAAGCACAGTAGCCACTGGCCACGTGTGCCTGAAATGCGACTGGCGTCACTGACTGAAATGCGGGTCTTCAATTTTATTTCACTTTAATTGATTTTAATTTTATTTAAGAGTTAAGAGTTTAATTATTGGAAAGACGTTTTTGAAGTAAGTGTGGAAGAACTTGAATATGTAAACCTATTTTTTCAACTGTAAATTTTATAAAATCTAGAAATAGATAAAATATTTCCAATGAAAATTTTGCATTTGAATTGAAATGTGTTGTAAATGTAAAAATATAGTAATACGAACAACTAATTTATTTGTAATGTGGTATTACTATTTTAGCTCATTGGTAAATGTTTAATATTGATAGATTTTGAACTGATAATATTTTGATAATTTAGGTTAAAATATTTTCAGTTAAAATAGGTTAGTGAAAATATTTTCACTTGTTTCCCTTTACTTTTTTCATGTGGCAGCTCCAAAATTTAAAAGTACCTCTGTGGCTCGTATTACATCTTATATTTCCATTGGACAGCACTGATTTGACCATGAATTGATTTAAGTGATTAGACCAATTAACAAAGTGTTTAGACAAGCCTATCCTAAGCTTACCCACAAAACTGAGGGAAGATTCCCTTTATGAGATGAATGTCAGCCCACAGCTCATTGCCTTCTTCCATCTCATCCAGAACCTCATGGCTACATAAACAAATGTCCTACAACAGCTGGTTCACTCCTAATTTCTTCTCCTATCTGCACTGACTGTCACATCCTGCACCCACTTACCCGAAGGCATTTACTGCGATTTAGGATCTTGTGGCCTTATGTTTCTCCAAATTACTTTGAAGGCAGCAAGATCTTAGATGCTACACCCCCACGGATGAACCGAGTTGCCCCTCTCTTGATTAAGTCTAGTCAGCATGAGCTGGGCACGGTGGCTCACGTCTGTAATCCAGCACTTTGGGAGGCCAAGGCATGTAGATCACCGGAGGTCCGGAGTTCGAGACCAGCCTGGCCAACATAGTGAAACCCTTTCTCTACTAAAAATACAAAAAATCAGCTGGCGTGGTGGCAGACACCTAGTTATCCCAGCTACTCTAGAGGCTGAGGCAGAAGAATCGCTTGAACCCAGGAGGCGGAGGTTACGGTGAGCTGAGATAGCACCACTGCACTCCAGCCTGGGCAATGAGAGCAAAATTCTGTCCCCCCTGCATCCCCTTCAAAAAAAAAAAAAAAAGTCTAGTTAGCATGACTGGGCTTCTGACTTAGGGCCACTCCTTGGTCCATTCAGCTTAGCTTGTCTTGTAACTCAGGACCCTTTGAAGACATAAGCCCTTCTCTGAATGTGGGCTACTGTCCAAAGTATATGCATCCTGTCATTCATTGGCTAGCACTCTCCCAGTGGCTGGAACTGGCCTTGCTTCTCTGCATTCCAGCTGCGGGCTCAGGTCTTTATAGACATCAGTGCCTGTAGGATCCGTGGCAGCCTGCCTGTCTCCTAGGTAGATTTGCGATCTTGGATTCCCCATGACACTGCTTGCCTTGCCTAACTTAACTGATGCTGAAGACATTTGGGCTTAATAAACACTGGGTTGCCCCTTAGAGCTTGATACTTTAATGCTCTATTTTCCTGGAGAAAGCCTCCTTACCCATCACCCCACTCACCATGGTGCCCTTATTTCCACTCATTCCTAACTCTGACCCCATCTTCCTTCTTGAGCCATAGAGAGTGAACTGAGGAAACCTCTAATTAAGTCAGCTAATATCATGGAGTGTTAACAACAATATATTTTTGTGAAACATCTTTTTGTGCCCTTATCGTAGGGAATGTACTCTATTAGAAATATCATCGGTCTTCCCTGGAACACTACTTCTGAGCGTGAAAGGGTCTTCCCAGAATCTCTGACGGTGTCCCACAGAG
This sequence comes from Homo sapiens, assembly GCF_000001405.40. Taxonomy (NCBI): domain Eukaryota; kingdom Metazoa; phylum Chordata; class Mammalia; order Primates; family Hominidae; genus Homo; species Homo sapiens. The sequence continues at coordinate 52,510,820 of NC_000018.10, forward strand.
ATAATCACCTATTGTATGTTTCTGTATGGTGAACTCAGCTCCTCTCTTAAATGATCCCTGAGAGAGTTATCATTACAGTGTCCTGATTTACAAACTTACAGGTGAAAAAAAGCTAGAAGAGGGAAGAGGGCAGTGAAGGAGTTCACTTTTCTCACATAGCTCTAGGGTAAACTATAAAAAACTAATTTGTCTCTAAGTTTTTCAAGGTGAATACAACAGACCAGGTCTTTAACAAGAGTCTAGAAGGATCAGGAGATCGAAACTATCCTGACTAACATGGTGAAACCCCGTCTCTACTGAAATATGACAAAATTAGCTGGGCATGGTGGTGCATGCCTGTAGTCCCAACTACTTGGAAGGCTGAGGCAGGGGAATCGCTTCAACCTGGGAGGCAGACATCGCAGTGAGCTGAGATGGCCCCACTGCACTCCAGCCTGGGCGACAGGGCAAGACTCTGTCTCAAAAAAAAAAAAAAAAAAGAAAGAAAGAAAAATCTAGGAGACCTTAGAGCCTGGTTTGATAAGGGGAATTATGTAGATAAAAGCTCTGGGAAATAATTTGAAAGAAGAGAATAAATAGTCTCTCATTTAGTATTAATGCATGTACCTCTTCGACGTGGAAAGGAAAGAAGGTACCAAAAGTGTGCAGCAATGGCTTTCAAACTGGGAAGGGGTTGAGGTTGTACTCCCCAGGGACAGTTGGCAATTTCTACAGATATTTTTGAATGAGGACCTGGGGGGCAGAGGAGTGCTACTGGTGTCTAATAAGTAGAGAAGAGAGTTGCTGCTAAACCTCCTACAATGCACAAGACAGCCCCCATAATAAACAATCATCCAGTCCCAAATGTCAATAGCTCCAAGGCTGGGAATTCTCGCGTTAAAGTTCACCGACATTTTAATCTCACAACATTTTAATCCCACATACAAATAGACTGAAGCTCACAGATATTAAACAATTTATTTAAAGTATTAGGACTAATTAGAAATGTGATTGGACGGGAACACAGAGAGTTTCATTTTCAGGACTGGCTTTCTCGTGCTAACATGCTGTCTTTCCCATTATTCACATGTTCTTCTGAATTTATTAAGAACAGTTTCATGAAACTTTTCAAGTTTGATGAAGCTGTTGAAAGGGTGCGGCTGTGTTTATATGATGTGTAAAGCCTGCCTTTCCTGAAACTGAATAAATAACACAAAGACAGCTCCCATTTGACAATGCTGGCCATTAAGCAGGATACAAGAAGTCTAAGTTATTATTCTTACTTTACCTGAAAGAAGCTAATGATCTTAGTGAGGAGACTGAGCTCAGCATTATGAGAATGTGTGTAATAGATTAGGGGCTTAGGACTCACCGATCCAACTATAAAAGGGTTGTGCAATTTTATTATTTGATTAGTTCATCTTAGCCTTGTGTACTTTCCTCTACCATTCCTGTGGCCAAGTCCTCCATCTACATTTCCTCCTTAGCTGCTGCTTTTTATCAAGGGAATTATTTAATCTTGGTGCCACTAACAAATTTGGCCATTACTTTATGGCTTCCTCCTCCACATAATCACATGATTACATCTTATTAGAAGGGTAAGATGTTCAGTATCCTGGACAACTGCTTTTAACTTCTCGCCCACTGAAGTTCTTTCTTTGCTGGATTTAGCTAATTTTTAGGCCATAAGAAAACATTTTTGGCTTTAAATTTTAATTAAATTTGATAATGGATGTTCTATTGGATTTTAATTTTTTCATGGTGACATGCATTCAAAATCCATTGTCATATTTCTTGAACACCTACTATGTGCCAGATAAAAATTATGAGCGCTTAGTATTCAGTCATACATACCATAGGCAGAAGCCCTGTCCTGATGGAGCTTACATCTTAGTGAAGGATACAGATGGTGAACTAGTAAATATACAGTAGAACATCAAGGTATGATAAATGCTGGGGGGAAAAAAGAAAGCAATGTAAAGGGATAGGGATTGACAGTGGTTACTGTTTTGAATGAGATGGTCCACATCTCATTAGATGTGGTATCTGGAAGAGTGCTAAGGATGATGAACAAAAATATGAAAAACCCTGAAGCAGAATGTTTTTTATTCATTCAAGAAATATTAGGAAGGACTGTGTGGCCTCAGGGTGGAGAGAAGAAATGAAGATGGCTTATACCAATAGAGAGGGAGCTAGGAGTAGAAAATATAGATCCTTGTGGGCCTGTGATCCTGATCCTGTGATCCCTAAAGAGAACTGCTCTTGCTCCTCTGAGTTGAAAAACTATAGGTGGAACAAGATGGGGGCAGGAAAACCAGTGAAGAGTCTATTATAGTTCTCCTAGGAAGAAATGATAGTAGCTTGGAAAGAAGGGATAGTAATAGACAGTTTGCTTGTTTTGTTTTGTTCTTTTCCTAAGAATGTTCATAATACAAACACCTTACATTTACCATTTGCTTTTATATTTGGCAATGCACCATTCTAAACCATGAGACACGACTTCCTGAGTTTCCATCCTGGATCCATCACTTGTTAGCAGTGTGATCTTAGATCTATAACCTAATCTCTCTGATTCTTTTCCTTCTCTGTAAAACAAAGTTAATACTGGTACCCACTTCAAGGACTGTGTGAGTTGAAATCTGTATAAAGCTCTTAGAATTATTACTGGCTTATGTTAAGCATTATGGTTTTTTAAATTATTATTATTTGTTCTTCAAACAAACCTATAAGTATTTGTTTTCCTTCTAGAAAGCAGGTCAGTATTATTTAAAATAATATATGTTATGTACATTTACTTATTTACTTTATAAATGAAGAAACTTAATCAACAGCTAATAGATGAGTCAGAATGCAAACCAAGGTCTTTTGGCTCTAAAACTAGGTCCCTTTCCTCCAAAACTAGGTCCCTTTCCTCCATACTACATGATGGTCAGGTTGTCAGATGCTACCCAAAGCTATTTATGGGCCTGCACTCCTCAGTCTGCTATTAAATATCTCAATCACATTCAACAGATGTCCAGCAAAAGTTCTTTGAGGTTTGTTTCATTTCGATTAACAGAGAAGTGCTGCAGCAGGGATCAGGATGGTGAGAAGTAACCTAAAAGCCACAATTCCATCATGCCATTTTTCCCAGTATTTCACCTTCACAGTCTATAGGTATCATCTGTTCCTATTGCTTTATTTATTTTTGGCTTTCTCAGAGTAACTTATTACTTCCACAAGATAGTTTGGACTTTAAAAGCATTTTTAATCTATTAAAGAAATTTTTCTTAAGAGTTGCACTCTTCTCTTGACAATATAGGGTAATCATTTAATTATTTTTTGATAAAATCCTCTCTCTCTGTATATATGTGTATATATATATAATGTATGTGTGTATATATAGTGTATATGCGTACACATGTGCATATATGTGTATGCATGTATATGTGTGTGTATATGTATATGTGTATAGAGAGAGAGATACAAAGTTATAGTTGGGAATGTATTGAAAGATTCAGGATTGCTGCTTAGACATGGTTTTTTTTATTGATATTTGAGGCCAGATAATGCTTTCCTGTGAGGTGATGTCTTGTGCATTGTAGGATGTTTGACAGCATCCCTGGCCTCTACCCTCTACTGGATACCAGTAACACAGATTACCTCTCCCCCAGTTCTCAAACAACCAAAAAATGTCTCCAGACATTACCAAATATCCCCTATGGGGAATAAAAATTGCCTTCAGATGACAACCAGTGGGTTAGAGACTTGGAAATGTGATTGGTTTTATTTGTATGCATGAGACTGCTGATTTGTCTCCTTAAAATGTGAACTCTGTGCCTTTTTAGAAAAGTCTGTGCTGCTTATTATCAAATGGGTATGTTATCAACTGAGTATAATTTTCCATATGCCTTTCAAATTTTCCAGGCATAAGAATAGAAATACAAATGTGATTGGCTCATTACCATTCAAATGGGAAATGAGAAGATCAAAGCTATATGAAATAAGTAGCTTGATCGAAAATAAGTGGAAATATTGCCATATTTAGATCTAAATTTTAGTGACATTGTACCCTATCAGTAAAAATGTTTGAACATGAACTCCTCATCTATGTATATTTATTGGAAAACAAATACTCAGTCTTTCCCAGCAAACAGAAAAGGAGAGAATATTCCCCAACTCATCCTATGAGGCTAGTATTGCCACGATACCAAATCCAGACAAATACAGTAAATAAAAACTACAGTTCAATATCTCTCATGGAGTTATCTGCAAAAATATTCAGTCAAGACAATGTGATATTAGCAGAAGGATAGACATATAGAACAATGGAACAGAATAGGAGGCTCAGAAATAAACCCGCATAAATATGCTCAACTAATTTTTGACAAAGGCTCAAAGCCAATTCAATGGAGAAAAGATGGCCTTTTCAACAAAGGGTGCTAGAGAGATTGTGTATCCATAGCCAAAAATATAAGAAATAAAAAATGAACCTCCACGTATATCTTATACCTTATACAAAAATGAACATAAAAATAGATCATAGACGGCTGGGTGTGGTGGCTCACGCCTGTAATCTCAATACTGTGGGAGGCCCAGGCGGGTGGATCACAAGGTCAAGAGATCGAGACCATCCTGGCTAACACGGTAAAACCCTGTCTCTACTAAAAATACAAAAAATTATCCGGGTGCAGTGGCAGGCGCCTGTAGTCCCAGCTACTCGGGAGGCTGAGGCAGGAGAATGGCGTGAACCCAGGAGGCTGAGCTTGCAGTGAGCCGAGATAGTGCCACTGCACTCCAGCCTGGGCGACAGAGCGAAACCCTGTCTCAAAAAAAAAAAAAAAAAAAATCATACAGGTAAAATGTAAAAGAATACAAAAAAAAATAGGATATTGTCTCCAAGATCAAGGGCTAAGCCAAGAGTCCTCACACTCCAAAAGAACAATGCATAAAAGGAAAAATTGAGTCACTGGGTAACATCAAAATTAAAAACTGTTGCTTTGTAAAAGACCCTTTGAAGAAGTTGAAAAGACAAGCTACAGACTAGGAGAAAATGTTTTCAAACCACATCTCTGAAAAAGAACTACTATGTAGATTATATAAGGAATTCTCAAAACTAAACAATAGAAAAAAAATCCAGTTAGAAAATGGAAAAAAAAAAAAAAAAGAAAATGGGCAAAATAAATTAAGAGGATACCCAGATGGCAAGTAAACACATGAAAGATTTTCAGCATTTTTAGTCATTGGGGAAATATGAATGGAAACCACAATATAATGTCACTACACACCTAACAGAATAAAAAATAGCAATGACTCCAAATGCTTGTGAGGGTAAGGAGAAACTGGATCACCCCTAGATTGCTGGTGGCATGTAAAATGGTACAGCCACTCTGAAAAACAGTTTGACAGGTTAAAAAAAAATTCAAATATCATACAGTTCAGCAGTTGTACTCCTGGGCATTTATTTCAGAGAAATGAAAACTCATGTTCACAAAAATAAATATATAAGTGTTTATATCAGTTTTATTTCTAACACACAAATCTTTAAATAGGCTATGTGTTGTTCAGCAGGTAAGCGGTTAAGCAAATTGTGATTTGTGTTGTGGAATACTACTCAGCAATAAAAAGGAGAACTCTGAATAAGATTGGTGGGCCACACCAAAGTCAATATTTGTGTGTGATACTTTATTATAGTTTTGCTAAATGTTACCATTAGGAGGAACTGAACAAACTGTACTTGATCTTCTTTATAGTATTTCTTACAACTGCATGTGAATCTACAGTCATTTCAACAAAAATACGTTAAATAAAAATGAAAAAGATAAGATAAAGGTGAAATAAACCACGTTATATAGTATTAATGATAATGGCTTAATACTGTCATATACATCAAAGTGCATTAAATACCTGAAAAGGTCATTATTGCCTTATTAGATATAGATTCATAGTTCAAATAGTCTTCTTAATAACCTTTATTTTTTTTCCTGGCTTCACATCAGATCTGATTATATTGTCTTTTGAGAAGTAAGTTACCTTGTTAAGAATTCATTCTACAAAGATTGGAAATGTCTATTCTTCTATTTTCCTATTTGCTTAGACCTGCATATTACAATAATTATTTTCCACCTGCCATTTATTTGTAGGAATCTTTTTGAGGCACTTGTTCATTTTAAGAGGGATTTTTAACATAAGGTAATCTGTGTCTGTGTAACCAGGCACACGTAAGCTACCAGATACTGCAGCATGCTGAAAACAGTAAACAAACCAGTAAGAGCTCCACTGGCTTCCCTTGGCATCTTAGGACTCTACACTCATTTCAGGAAGCTTTGCATGTGGACCATAAGTGACACCCAACCTCCGACTTTCAATAGAGGAAGGGTGCCAGAAGCAATCTGTGTTGTAAACATTAATAGAGTTAAGTGTCTTTCATATCTGTTCTAGATGAAATTATTATTATAAAAAGAAGTCCAACATTTTCATCTTGAACACTAAAGGATCTTTCTCGATAGCTGCGGTGGTATTTGCCAGTTCAGAGACCACTAGTTTAAAGAATAAAGCCATGTGTGGATCAAAAAGACTTGATACACTGCATTGCAGGTAGAAAGGACCAGGCAGTGAGAAAGCCAGCAAGGTGCTGCGTAGAATTTAGGTTAACTGAATGCTACAGGCCTTCTGTATCTTGCTTATGACCCCTAAACCCAGTTACTAGCTAATTGAGAAAGTCCTAGAAATGAAGACATCATCATATCTAAACATCCAAGTTGTACCAAATAGCAACTCCTTAGGTCCAATTTATCTCTTTCCTTTTTATTAAGTAAACATTTCCTTAAAGTATAACACACAGATGGAAAAGTGCATATGTCATAAATAAACAGCTCAATGAAATTACTAAAAAGGAAAACACTGGCATAAACGGTCCCCAGATCAAGATATAGAATGTTACTAGCACTTGTCAGGCCCTCTTGTTCCCACTTTTCTAATTCTGTTCCATGGAGAACCACTATCCTGACTTCTGATACCATAAATTAATGCTTATTTGGGGGTTTAATTTTAAAGGGATTAGGAAATACATAGTGTTCTGGGTCTGGTTTTATCCATGCCATTGATTATGCTTGTAGTTCATTCATTCTCATTGCTGCATATTATTCTTTTAAATTATTATACCACAATTTATTTTATTGTTGATGGACATTTTTTCCTTCACTTTTGACTATTATGAATAGTGCTGTTAAATACATTCTTACATTCTCCTCTATTCTTATTCCAGATTGTGGCATTGTTTTCCTGTAAACTGTGGTACTAATTTCCCTAAAAAATCTTTGATACCTTATATTGAAAAAAGAAAAAGCAATCCTCCTAGAAACAATTAGCTTTCTTATCTATACAGTAATACAAATAATTCCTGATCATCTATAGAGTTTGAGTCCAAAGGCTATGATAGCATGAGGCTGAGTAAATATGGGATGTTGAATGAGCCCTCTAGGTCTGAGATTCCGTAAGAAAAAGCCATTGCCATGTGCTGGGAGGGGTCAGGGTAGAGTTCCCAAGGAAAGGTGGAACCCAGAGTTTGGACCTTGCAAGTTGCAATATGTATTTACAAGGAAGAGTAGTGGTTCAAAGCAAGAGAAATATAAAAAGGCATGGAATGAAAATATTATTGGCTTGGGTTGAACGGATTAGAATAGGATAAAGTGTAAATTACTCCTTGTGTCGTTTCCTCTTTGATTCTCCAATTTACAGGAAGGTAGTCATAGAATAACACTGAAATCCTTCTGACTTGGTGTATCTTAGAAAATAAAACAAAACTGTGCTAGTCTCAGAAAAAGGGCAGTGCAGAAAGTAGATCTGAATACATGTGAAATGAGCCGGCATGATGAATATTTGTCTGTTCTCACTTTCTCTTCTCTGTTCTCGTGTGTATGTGCCCACTTGCAAAGTGAACAGTGATGGTAATTATTAAAACCATTCTTTGCTCATAAACTGAGAATGTTTGAAAACAGAGCCAGAGAGACAAAAATGACTGGACCCCTATGGTGCATTTTTGTTTTATTTGCTTTTACGAAAATATCTACCTGCCTCTACATACTGGGTTGAGGCTCCTTCTCACCTTACCCTTCTCTCAGGCAGATTAATCACCTGTCTAAGCATTTGAGGTCCTGATTAATTTGTAACCCTAAATGAAGGCCAGAGAATGCTAACCATGTCCTCTGAGTTGAAACAGTTTTCAGTAGGTGGATGAAAACCCATCTTGCTAATTATAGTTTTGGATAACAGATTAAAATATGTAGAAAGGTTTCCTCCTTAGATGATTAGATCTTTCTGAATGACAACTTTTCTATTTATTAGCTCTGCATGCCTTAGAAAAAATGTGCTTGTGTGGGAGAGCTCCAGAATGTAGCTGCCAGATTGGGAGCAGACCTTGTATTCACGTGTGCCTTTCTGAAGCTCAGTTTACAGCTTTCCTAGGTTTATCTGTTCTGTGCCTGGGTTTTGCTTATAAAGTAAGGTCTTGCATGCCTCAAGAAGTGGACTTTGTTAAGTGCAGTGCAGTTAAGATCTGCAGTGCAGTGGGGACTTTTTTCTTTATATAATTTTTTAAAAAGAAGCTGATGGGAGAAATAAGAGCCCCAGGGAATGGATGCTTATGTGTAGATTTTGCTGATATAGGAGAAGAAAAGATAACTGTGTTTTGAAAAGACATGTGCAATAGTTTAATCATTTCCACTAGCTTTACTAGTTAGGATATCTGGATAAGTTGCAATGAGGGACAGGCAATGGGATGGGGGAAAGTAAGAGAGGAACAGGTAAAGCAAAGTTAAAAGAAATGGAAGGAATTTGGTTATGTTTGCCTCTTTGTGTTGAATCTTTTTGCTCTAAATCAGGGTTTTTGCAGGTTTATAAAGTGGAGCCCAGGAGGGATCCACCTCAGCTGTTATCAGGCCATGACTATGTAATGTGGAACTGAGGATGGAAATAATAGGATGGCTGACATCTGGCTAATTGCCATTGCAATTGAAAGCTGCCTGACAGTTGTGTGAAAATTGCTTGGAGATGAAGAACTTTCAATGAACCATGATGGACAGAAGTATCTGAGCAAAGAAATAGTGGGCAATGAAAAAGATGGACTGGAGGACAGGGAGGAAACTGCCTGTCATATTCTCTCCTCTCTTGTCTTCTCCTCCCATTGTATCTCAAGAGTAAAAGCTTACTCAGTTAATGGCAAGTTATTTTCAAAGAGAAAACAGAAAGCAGAGGTTTGCAAGTCTGGAGTTACATTAATTTCCCTTAATTTTGCCTTCACCCAAAGCCTACTGAAGCACCAGTCATCCAAGGGTCTCTTCCTAAACCAGTGCTTCCAAGCTGCTCAGTTCCCAAGCCCTCAAAACATGAGCCCCCAGTGCTGCCCTCCACAGTGACAACTCCGTCGTCCTCCTCCAAGCACCTAGTGCTGAGAAGTGACTTCTGAATTGTCAAGACATTTCCTATGAATGGTCAAGACATTTCCTATGAATGGTCACTCCCAGAACAGGCTTGCCGAACCCTGTAGCATAAGTGGTTACTGCTATAATCAGTAAATCCAAGTTAACTTACCTAATCAACATTGTCTCCTTCATCTCTTCCCATCCTCTCAACAGAGGCTTCTCAGGTAATACATACACATTTTAATTTTGGCTGTGTGGAAACCATTGTTGATCATTAAATAGAGTAATATTAATGGTAGGGTTTCCCGGAGATGTCCAAGATTGTGGATAATGGTCCTAAAGAAGAAATTTGCGGGGAGGCCTTGCTTTATGAAACCCTTCACACCACCCCTGACTTGTGAGGAGGGAATAGCTGCCTACTGCCTGATCCAGTTCTTTTTATGTCCCTATAAATACAGTCGTTCAGATTGAGTTTTAAATACTTTTTGTTATATTATGACAAGGTTTTTTTTAAGAATTTAGGCAATGATTTTTTTTTTAATTTAGAATTTCCTAATAGTGTTAAGGGCCAGAGAATCAAAGTATTCTTTCCATTTTATAACATTGGTTAAAAGTGCCTTACAATAATAGTTTGTGTTTTGCTGCTTTAGTTAGTGTTCTCATGCATGAGTTACACTGCTGTGGTCAAAACCTGTAAACAAATTCTTTGGACTTACAAACAGTTTTGGAAATTGCCATATACTGTCCTGACAAGTAATTTTACTTTCTGTTTAATTATGCAAACTTAAGGGGACTATTGAAGAAAAATAGTGTATTTTTCAGGCCAAAAATATACATGGTGGTATATTTAAAGCCAAAAATTCTGTTGAGAGAATTCATTTTGTCTAGGAAACATTCGTATTCTTTTTCTCGCTTTGCATGTGTACATTCAGACTATGATGCTCAGGATTTGAAAAAAAATGCATACTTGAATTGTGAATTTTTTTTTGAGATTTAACTAAGTTAATTTTTGTAATTAGAGGAAATTAATAAAATATTTTGGAAGAAACTTAAATTTATATGTCAACCTCTGGGTCAAATAGATTCATTTGAGGTTCACATTTAAACTCCCATCATGTTCACTGAATAATTTTAAGGCTGTTTTAGTCATCTTGGGCTGCCATAACAAAACACCATGGACTGTTTGCTTTAAACGACAAAAATTTATTGTCTCAGTTCCGGAGGCTGGGAAGTCCAAGATCAAGGTCTGGTAGGGTTCAGTTTTCAGTGAGGGCTTTGTTTCTGGCTTGCAGATGGCCACCTTCTTACTGTGTGCCTACATGGCCCCATCACCAAATGCCATCACTTTGGGAGTTAGAGGTTCAATATATTCGTGGCAGGGTGGGGCAGGGGATATCAACATTCAGTCTATAACAAAGGCCTTAGGACTCTGCTGATAAACTCTGTATTTGTCTTCAGTTTGGGGGAGGTATACAGGAATCTGGGTTACACTAGTTTGAGGAAGTTATCGTAATTTTAAAACTAAACTGGAAAAGGTGAATGGTTTTCTCCATAGGTTGTTTATTAATAAACAGCAGCTTTCTCTTCTATGTTGACTAAAGGTGACATAAAACTTCATATTGATTAGTAGCTGAGTTTCTATCCCTCATCCTACTACTGCCTCTCCAGCCAAAGCAAATTGCAGAGTTAAGATGGCACTCAATAAATATTTGTTGGAAGGATTAATGAATAAATGAATAATTTAGGCAAAATCTATCAAGCCTAAAAAAATAATCCTCAATCTTATTCAGTAAACATTGTCTGCAAGCTGACTTTGAAAAAGAGCAATGGAATAGAAATGCCCAAATTTTAAGAAGGTGATGACTTAGTTGAAAAACTGAGAGATAGAATAAAATTACTAAATAATCATAAGGCAATAATAGATTAAGACATAGTTTTGGGTTACTCATGGATAATTACATGGTCCAGGGATAATTATCTACAGATACATCCATGGCAGTATCTACCTGTACATGGTTTTACCATTTCTATGGCATAATTTTTATTTGGTTCAAGATAAAATCAAATAAATTTTTACAGGCATTTTGTCTAGATCTAGATTCCATGGAAATTATGGACATTCCCATCGTTAGACACAATAACCAAGCTGAGAGATGCCTCCTCTTGTTCTCTTCCAGGTGTAGTATCTTAGTGCTGTCCAAGGACTACACCAAATTCTCAATGAGACCCCCTGATCCAGAACTAACAACACTCTCCCGAAAATCTCTCCTTTTTTCTTTCTCTAATTTCAGAGTGCCAGATAAAATATAGGATACCCAGTTAAATTTTAGAAAACAAGTACTGCATATTGCGTTATTTACTTATATCAAAAGTATCCTATTTTTATTTGCCGAATTGGCAACCTTTCTCTAAGCCTGTCCCAAGTGCCACTTTATCATTGCATTGTAATTTTAACCACCCTTCAAAACACAGTCTATTTGAAAGAAAGGATTGCAGTCATGTATAAATGTCTCATAGCTAGATTAATGTATAGTCATTAAACTAAGTATGTTTGTATATTTATCCAGAGGATCAGTCTTCTGGAGGTTAATTTTGAATATAAATATTTTATAGTACCCCACCTCAAGAGAGAATTGATACTTTCTTCTCAAGTTTGAATGGTCAAGAAGAGGTTGGGTGTGACAATCATTGCAGATCTGTAAGAGTGGTAATTCTAGCACCACAGTTTGAGAACGGGACCCAGCTATAGAAAGCATGTGATAGTCATGGCCACAGACTAAAATTATTCTGGTAATATTGGTATGAAGTGATTGTCTGTTCTGATGTGCAGAAACATTTATCTTTTTATTTACTTACTGTCCTCTGAAATGTGGATGAAGAACACTGGGTTAGGAGTAAGGAAACCTAGATCTTATTCCCAGATCTGCCATTGTTTTTTAGGTGGTCTCAAGTGTACTGGGCCTTAGTTTCTCACTTGCAGATTCTACATGATTGCATCTCAACTTTATATAAGAAGCAGCTGAGGTGTCTAGGGGAACATGGAGATTTCTGGGTTTCCCATCAGACATTTTGATTCTGGCACCCTAGGAGTGGGCCAGGATGATGAATATTTTTAACAAGCACACAAGTTGATCAAATGCAAGTAGTTCTGTACCATGTTGTCAAACTTAGAGTAGATGACCTCTCAGTCCCTTTCTATTTAGTTTTACAAATGTGGACATCTGTGATTCAAAGAAATAAACAAACTTGTTTATGTAGAAGTGTGTTTTCACTTTTTAGAAACAAATTGTTTATTTTAGAAAAATCAAAAAATATAGAAACATAAAAAAGCATCCATTAGAAGTTTAAATGTCTTATAACAATCCCACAAAATGCACAAAAGCTAATTTCAAAAGCTGCATTAACTCTACATTGTGAATGCCTCTGGTTACTTGTTTATTGGGCAACTTAATCTAAAAAGGTTCTTTCATGAATTTTCATCAATTTTGCAACAAAGCCCTGTTGCAAATTGTGAATTATGCATTAACATATGTTCATGCTAATTTATACACTGGTGACAGGTTTTTGGCATGGGATCAATAACTTACAATTACAATTTTTAAAGTTTGTTTATTAATACCAGCAGGGACTTGGGATTATCATTTAGTTAACAATGTGTAATTTGAACCCAATTTTTTAAAAAGAGCAAGTTCTGCCGTTGTCTTAAGTCAGTATATTTGTCCAAGGAACAACAAATGAATCTGAAACTAACAAGATAAATGCTTCCTGCTCTTCTCAATTAATAATTTTTATAGTTCCGTAAGATTGTCTGATGTTGGTGTCTTGTCATCAGACGTAAATGTGGGGTGTTGTTACACCAAGTTTCTCTAATATCTAAATAATTATAGGCAAGCCTATTTAGGTCACAATACTTAAAGATAAAAATTATAATTTCAACTAGCTGCTTCTGAAAATTTAATGTGATGCTTCATTTCTTTATGCATATTCTTTAAAGTTAAGACAAAAAATTCCTAAAAAGAAATCAGAATAATCTTAAGAAGCTTCAATAGTATGTTTCTCTCTCTCCAGCATGCTTTTATTTAAACACATTGGTTTGTAAATAAACCTTCTTTTGAAAAGCCCTGGTATACAAAAAATATTCTAACAAAACAAGTAAATTAGAGGTTGATTATTTGCAATGCTTCAAACATTTTCTGCTTTAAAAGTATAACTGCATTTCCCTTGAAGAAGCTCCTGCTTATTACACTGAAATGGGATTTGTCTCAAATAATTTTATGCCAACTTTTTGGAAGCACATTGTTATGTAAGTGGAAGCTCAGCTTTTCTATACACAGCAGCAAGTATTTGATCAATCACTATTACTAATTTGTAGAGCGGTTTTAGCTACCACATCTGACAATTATATTTCAATATTTATTTTATAAAAATGAAGTTACTAAGAATAAATCAATTATATGCTCACTTTATCCCTCTGGTGATGAACAGTGGAGCCAAAGGGAGTGCATGAGCTTTGAGTATGCCTGCTGTTCATCCTTATTAACAACTTTGCAGGTGCGCCTTGCTGGTGGTGGGAGAGGTAGGAAAGAAAAGAGCATATTTTTCTAATTAGCAGTTCTATATCAGATAGCATATAATAGAAGGCCAAGGGTAATTATTCCTATGCCCACAATAGGAATTTTTAGGTTTTTAGATTTTTTTTTATTTTTGGTCATAGAAGGAATACAATTTTGAATAGCAGAGAGCTGATTTTAAATCTTGGTTCTCTCCATTGTTAATAGTGTCAAGGTATGTATCTTCTCTGAGATTTTGCTTCTTATCTTTAAAATAAACATGATAATGCTCTGTTTAGTGGGTTCTTGTAAGAATAAAGTTAAATTATCCTCATATATATATCCTTACCATTCTCTCGTATTTAGGAGGCAATTAATCAACATTTAAGTGCACATTTCCATCCACTCTGAAATAATGAAGCTGTCTCTGTGGTCCTGATTTGAAACCAAAGCTTTCTATGTCCCCTATAGCCACTAGGATGTCTAGTCTATATGATATCATTCTGTATCTGTTGGTAGGTTGCTTTACGTTTGTTAGTAAACCTATATGGTCATCCAAACTAGCCTGGTAGAACCTTTAGCCCCTTTCATGCCCATCTTCCACCCTCTGCACCACAACTTCCCTACTCCTACCCATCTGTAGCAATCTGTCACAAGCATTGTCAAACTGTGGCCTGTGGGCCAAATCCAGCCACTCACATGCTTTTGTAAATAAAGATTTATCTAGATATAGTCATCCCCATTCATTTACACAAAGTGGATGGCTGCTTTTGAACTGCAATGGTTGGGATGAGTAGTTGTAAGAAATCTGACCGCATAAAGCCTAAATTATTCACTATTTAACCATTTGCAGAAAATGTCTGTAGACTCTGGTCAATTACCTAATAGAATATAACTAGGGTTTTTAAATATGGTTGATTAAAAATTAAGTACTTGTTGACAAATAGATGCTGATTAAGTGGAGAACAGAAAAATGTGATAGTTATTGTCATAGACAGATCTTAACTCTCCTACTAAGAATGATGACAATAAGGACAGAAAGACAAAGTAATTTAAGAGAAATAACGGAAAGATGGAAGCCAAAGATGATGAATCCTCCATTAACTGCTATTGCACCTTATTTGAGTTATGTTATCTTTGTTAGCCTCAGTTTTCTTATCTGCCAAATGAAAATAATAATTTCTGCTCAACCTAACACCCTAAGGTCCAAATGCACATTGCACTAACTAATGATATTCTTACATTATGTAACCTTTATTTTCTTTATATAATAATGACTCCTAACTTAAATTTAGAATTCAAGATGCATTCATTCTTCTTTTCTAAAAGTTTCATAAGAAGTGGTGGTTGTCCTTGTAGGAAAAGCTAGGTGTGAGTTGAGCAAAGACAAAGAAGTATCTTTAGACAGTGTTTGAGGATTTAGTAAACCTTATCTGACAGGGAACAAAATTTCTGGCAGGCCCAGTGGAGAGAAAGAAGGGAGAGTGTGTGTCAGATAAAAGAAAGCAGAGCTTGGAGAAAGAGGAACTAAGGGGAGGAGACAGATGGCCAATGGCCTTGCAATGAGAATATTGAGTATGGTGAATTATTAGCTGTTCAGTGTTCCCAACAAAATCAGTGACAGCAGCCCCTGATATATAGGCAATCAAAGGCAAGGTCTTCAGACACTGCAAGGGGCTAGAAAACCTGGTAGTTGGTAAACAACAATTCAGAACATTTGATCTTTAAGAGGTTTCTGAGGGCCACGAAATGGGCACTGATCTAGAATGCAGAAACCAATAGATTTAAGGCCAGCCTTTTCTATCTCATGTCATCATGGGTAAGTCTCAGTTTCTTCATTTGTAGATTTAGAATATCTTCCTTAGGTACTTCATGAGACTTCAAAGAATTCAATGAGGTAATTTGTGTGAACATGTTTTGAAAACTCAATTATAGGCCCGTATTATTATTTTATTGAGTACAATAGCTGAATAACTACAGAAGGACATGGGCTTTTAATGTATTTCTAGAAAAGTTGATAGATTTTCTGCCTGCACAGACACAGTTACACACACACATGGTCAGACTTATTTCATAGATCCATCTATTTTGGTGATCTGGAAGTAGGAATATAGTAAAATGCTCTCTCTGTATTAATCTCATGGGTAATTATTTTCCTCTCATCAGGTTACAGGTATCCCCAGAAATCTTCAGAATACAATCTACAGGTGGTGTTTAAATATCCAAAGTCACACGCCAATGCTTTCTTATCCAGTGAGCAAAAAGAAAGCTCAATGGGAACCTTTTGGTAAAACTGATGCACAGGGATGACATTATTCTTACAGGTGTGTAACCTAAAGCTTTTACTGGGTTCCATCTATCTGGATTAACAAAGAGCCACATTACAAATGATTCTGTTCCCTCGGTGATAAAAGAAAAAATTACTGAGAGGGGATATCATGTCATAAGACTAGAATACTAGGTTTAGAGCAATTTGTTCTTCTTTTTTTCAATTATGCAGTAATGGTATCCACATACTGTATTCAGTCTACAGGCAATGTGATTAGAAAGAAACAAACATAGCCTTTTTTGAAACAAAGAGATGTTATGCATTAATACATGAAGTGGTGGTTCTTTTGCTATAATAAATGCATAGCTGGTGATTCCACCAATGAGCAATTTGTTGGAAATGTTTTATTGGTTATGATTTATGGATGACAAGTTTGAGTAATTGTTAAGCTTAATTGCACTTAAATGATGGATTTTTTCCTCAGTTGTTTATCTTCAGGGCATGGATGAAAGCAAATGTGTTGGAAAAATGCAGAGTTCAGTGGTTGCTAAATGAGCTTATTAATGTTTACATATGTAACAATTTAGGCCATTAGTATGTATATGTTGGAATGAGATGACCATCTCATCTCTCAGTCTGCAGAAATTCCTGCACAAACTATCACTATTTTATTTTTGGATAAACACACAGCTGTTCTATTTCAATTACAAATTCAAGTTGTCCTGAGATTAATTTTGTTCTATTTGTGGCTGGTAAAAGTATTTTCAAGAAGAAAATGAAATTACTATACCTATTTGGCATGTACGAGGGCATTAGGTCAAGAGCATCTAGCCTCTGACAACTCTGGGGAGGGAGAGCAACTGGTCAGATCCCCAAAGACTTGGCCTTATTTCCACAGAATGATTTTCTAGGCAGCCCATTTTACTTGTAATACAGAGGGTCAGCAAGGCAAATTTGCCTGCCTTTCCAAAGCCAGAATGAAACACTGACTTTCTAAGCTCTAAAATATTCTTGTTGCCCTTTATTACAGCTAAATATGATATAGAATCTTGTTATGGACTTTATGTCTGAGGGCACACATGGTTTAAAATTCTCAGGTATGAATACTTGTATAATAGATGGAGCATGAGTTAGGTTGACCTCTTGCAAAACAAAACAAAACAAAAACAACTTTCTTTCCTCTCATTTTCCCAGTATCTCATTAGCTTTTCAATAAATACTTGTTGCATGAGTTATAACATTCTTCAAAAATAAGGCTGATACATATGTGCATATATATATTCCAAGATATATTTCGAATATAATGTGCCAGATGCTTTTTGTTGCTAGGAACAGAAATTCACTCAGTTGAACTAAGAAATGAGAGATTTATTATAAAGATACATATGAAAATAAGGAAGTAAGGAATTTTGACCATATTTCTGAGTTTTATACAAGAGTCTAGAAAAATCTGCACTACTAGGTTTCCAAGAAGAGCAGGTACACTGTTACTGCCAGGTTCTCAAAGACTGGAGCCTGGATTAAAAGCTGGACCTCAGGAACTGGGCAGACAGCATTTTAAGATCCATCAGCCCTGGTGACCTGATTATCACATTACCCCTCAAGAGCAGGGCTGATCCTCACCCTAAGGTTTCATCATCAGGGAGATAGCACAACTCTCCACACTTCTGCTTGTCTGCTCCTACTGTCACTGACTTCTATGACAGGGCTCTCCTGTCTTGTGGTTTCTGCTTTCTCACAGTTTTTAGTGCTTCATGGACTCTGCTTACTGCATTAAGTCTACAGATGCTCAACTTTATGTTTCTGCACAAATTTCCTGGGATAAAAATACGACTGGTTTAGTTAGTCACCAATATTCCAGTTAGGCCACCAGTTATCATATAGATTTGCTACACTTGAGTTACATGCCCAATACTTATCAACTGGCTGTCACCAAGTTGATACAAATGACAAACTGTATGACCCCCTAGTGCCAATCTATAGACAAGAGGCTGGGGACTTTCTAAGTCTCAACCTTTTGCTACAATGTGGTTTCTCAACTGACTGTGACAATTAGACGTAGGCCAATATTCCAGTACTCATCTTTGTACCTAGTTTTCTAAGAGAAAAGAAGACATGGTTTCCTAAATGTTATTGCTATGCAATAGCAAAAATTAAGTATCTACAAAAATTAATTGGTCATCGTGATAGAACTGGTCTGTCATATTAAAGAAAGAGCAATCCCATTCCTATTGCTCCGACATTTTAAGCAGCTGTGTTTTTTGGTTTGTTTGTTTTTGTTTTTGTTTTTGAAACGGAGTCTCGCTCTGTCACCCAGGCTGGAGTGCAGTGGCACGATCTCAGCTCACTGCAAGCTCCGCCTCCCGGGTTCACGCCATTCTCCTGCCTCAGCCTCCCGAGTAGCTGGGACTACAGGCGCCTGCCACCACGCCCAGCTAATTTTTTGCATTTTTAGTAGAGACAGGGTTTCCCCGTGTTAGCCAGGATGGTCTCGATCTCCTGACCTCGTGATCCACCCGCCTCGGCCTCCCAAAGTGCTGGGATTACAGGCGTGAGCCACCGGGCCCGTGAAGCAGCTGTTTACTGCAGTAACACGCTGTTATTTCCTCAAGTTCTTCCAGGTTTCTTCAAAGTCCATTTCCTTTTCCTCAGAGTTTCAGACTCTGTCCAATTATTACACTCACTCATGCCAAGGACTTGCAGATATAAGAATTATCCTTGATCATATAAGTCCTGCCCTTGAAGATGCATCCGCCTCGAGCTGTCTTCTTATCCACCTTCTTATCTCTCTTCTTCTGTGGATATGAAGATGATAATGTCTGCTCCAGGAACAGTTCTTATGATGTGATTCAGAGGAAGAAATGCATCTACTTCCTTTAACCCATTTACATTTCTGGAAAAAAGTACCATGGTTAAGTCTTCTCTCCAATGAAATAGAAAATTTTAGCAAAGTCTATAAAACAAAAATCTCTACTAGAAAGCTTATAGTCAAGTCAAAAACCCTCAAAATTTTGAATGCAATTAAACGTTAATATATTTTAGTGAAACTATATGATGTATAGTATATATGACATAATGAAATGTAAAAATAATATAGTATGTGTTCAAGCACTTGTAGTTTATAAATATTTTCATGTGAATTGCTATGTTTCATTCTTGCACCAACTCTATTAAGTGGACAAGAATAATCTCTCTTCAAGGAATGGTACATGTTTTACACACACACGCACACACACAAACACACACGAGCTGAGGCATTTTTTGGATGTGGAGCTGTATGAGGCTGACAGCAGTTAAGTGATTTGTTCAAGTTCATTACAAGAAAAACAGTAAGTTGGAGGGAAAAAAACATGAGCTTTTGAGTGGGTCTGTCTGTGGGTTTAAACCCTACTTTTACACTTTCAAGTTGCAATGACTTTGTGATAGTTACTAAACATTTCTTAGGAAGTCTCAGTTTTCTGAGATGCAAAATGAGAATTGTTGCAGAGCCATAAAGAAAACAGAGAATGCACATAAAACATACTTAGTAAATGGTACATAGGAGGTGCTTGGTAGGTAAAACTGGAACTTTTGTCTTTTTCTTCAGTGTTCTTCCTACTCCACTGTACTTCAAGAATTAAAAATATCATTTTTTCAGGGAAAATGAATGAAATTACCAAAAACTGAAGAAGATATGTCTTCATTATCTTTATCCCAAAGCATTTACTTGGCATCCAAAAACATATTCAGAACACTGTGCTAGGTAATGGAAAAGTCCTAAGACACCCAGAGAGAGATTGTTTCCTTACTCTCACAGTGGATGAAAAATACTGAGAGGCAAATGAGAGAAGATGCCTATGTCAGCTTCCTGCAGCATCAGTCTAAATTATTTTAACAGGCTTTAGTGACCTCAAAATAGCAAGAAAGCCTTAAATGTAAAAGACCTAGATAGGTGATGGAAGATAGAGACAAACACTGAAATTTCAGCAAGAGATATTATAGATAAATAAGGACAACTTGGCCTCTAAACATCTTCTATTTACTGCACAGTTCCTGTTAATTTCAGTATCTTTGGGGTACCCTTCTAAGCATTCACACATCTACTCTGAAGCAGGCATTGCTTATAAACAGCCTTCTGTCTGCTGAGCTGTTTCATGGGGAATTCCTTATCACCAGGGCTGCATTTGAACTGATGAGTCAAGCAAGCTACCTGGTGTATTATCAGTTCCTTCAAACTTGCTCTGAGATGTGTGACATGTATAGAAAATAAAAACCTAAGACTTTGATCTACAAGGATGCAGCATTTGCTTGGCTCCAGTAAGAAAAAGAATCCTCTAGAAATCCTTAAAAGCAGACTGGAAAAGGCTGAAGTTCTCTTCTACATTTGCCAAAACTTAGTTAACACCAGCTTTAACTAAAAGAAATATGATAGTCAAAAGACAAACCAATTTAAATATATTTGAAAGTAAGGCAATATATTCATTACAGTATGGTTTGTATTTGGCATTTAAAAATATCTAACTTCTTTGCCTAGAGAGATGTTTACTATTTCATACTATCTTCCTTCTTAAAGTAGACAATTGAAATATGTTTCTCTGTGTGTGTGTGTCTGATCTATAGCCTGTCTGGTCTCCATAGTTTTAATGAGTTTTCCATTTTTTTTTCTTAAACTCTTCTTGGCTGGTGAAAATTACTCAATACTGCTATCTTAGACTATTTCAACGACATCCCTTGACATCCATATTCCTACCTCCCTTTTGTAGTTTCTTCTGCTTCATTGTTACCTATTGTCATTACTTTCTCCGAGGCTGAATATCTGTACTAATACCTCCTAAGGTGTTCCGGAATAGTGAAGCCAATTCTATTTTCTACGTTCAAGCATATTCTTGATCTTAAAAACAAAAAAAGATGAAGAGAAGGAAATTAAATCTCCAGAAGCAACCCACTATCTTATGCAACTATTGCCTTCTGTGAGCCAATCTCATTTCCATAACCACCTCCTCTCTTTCCTTTGCACAATGCAAAAGGTAGAGATTTCATGCAATTTTTATGACAGTGACTTAGCTCCCCTCACAGCCATCATCAAATCTACAGGTATATTGGAGTGACTCCTGTGCTTTTGCATGCATATTAAGGACTGTGTACAGAACTTATTCTAAATTGAAAAATGATGCTTATCTTCTAGTTTCTTCTATTATAGGAATAAAATAGTTATGTTGGCACTTAGAAAAAAAGTTCAAAAAAAGCATCCTAGGCATATACATTTTGCATGTGATTAATGTGAGGACTTCTTATCAAAGTTATATCTATTAAATCTCTCAAGAATTCCTTAATTTTGTTTCTTTTTAATTTGTGCAAGCTGGAGAGATCACATTTAAAATTTTACCAAAATAAGTTCAAGACTCAAGAACTCGATCCATTGTTGCCAATTGTTCTGTGTAGTATGTGTTCAAAGTACAAAATAATATTAACACTAATTTGGATTCAAATGATCTTTCTCCACAAGGCAAATGACATTTTAAGACATATTCTGGGAGCTGGATCTTCTGTTTAGATGCTGCTAATAGGGAGACAACAGCTGAGAAACGTGCATCACCATTGACTGAAGGATATGGGTGTGGGAAACCCTTTTTTCAAATGAGTAATTCATTGAAGTTTAAGGGAACAAATTTATTGTCCATAGGGTACAAGAGAGAAGAGAGCTGTCTATAAACTGTTTTTTTTTCTGAGGGCCTCTTGCTTTTTTTCTGAGGGCCACCTTCCCAAACCTGGAGATGAACTGTCATGGGTGGCTGAGATAAAATTCACATAAAATATATCCTTCTAAAGTAGACCATTCAGTGGTTTTTAGTATATTCACCAAGTTTTGCAACCATCACTGCTATCTAATTGCAGAACATCTTCATCTCCCTAAAGAGAACACCATACCTATTAGTAGTCAGACTCATTCCCACCACCTCTCACCACCCCAGTCCCTCTTCTACTAATCTACTCTGTCTTTACAGATTTGACGATTCTGGACATTTTATATGTACAGGATTATAAAATATGTGGCCTTTAAAATATTTGCTAGAAGTTTTTATTGAAATAATCATAGATTCAAATGCCATTTTACAGAGAGGTCATATGTACCCTTTACCCTGTTTCCCCCAATGGTATCATCTTACATCACCATAGCACAATATTATAACCAGGATATCGACATTTGATACAACCTGTCAATCTTATTCCGACTTCCAGTTTTACTTGTACTCCTTTGTGTGTGTTGTGCACTCCCATGAATTTAATTCTAAAAAATATTGTTACATGTGTAGGTTTGTGTATCCATCACTACAGTCAAGATACAGAAAAATTTCAACATCATAAAGATCCTTGTGTTCTTGTGTGGCCCTTTGATGTGCCTGCCTTCTACCATCCCTAGCCTCTCGCAACCACTAAACCGATCTCCATTTCTAAACCTTTGTTTTTCAATGCTATATAAATGGAATCAAACATTATTTAATCTTATGGGATTGACTTTTTTTTGCTTATCATAATTTCCCAGAGACCATCCAGGTGGTTACATGTATCAGTAGTTCAGTCCTGTCTATTACTAAGTAACAGTCTGTGACAAATACCACAGTTTGTTTAACCATTCACCCACTGAACGACATCTGGATGATTTCAGGTCTTTGGCTATTGTGAATAAAGCTACTGTGAGCATTTCCATATATTTTTGTATGTGTGTGAATACAAGTTTTTATTTATCTGGGATAAATGCCTAAGAATGCAATTACTGGGTGATTTGCTAATTGCATGTAAATTTCCTAAGAAATTGCCACACTGTTTTCCAGGGTGGTTATACCATTTTACATTCACATCAGCAGTGTATAGGTGATCCAGTTTCTCTTCACCCTCACCAAGATTTCATGCTGTTACTATTTTTTTTATTTTAGCTATTCTGGTAAGTAGGTAGTGAATATGTGGACTTTGTGACTGGCTTATTTCACCTAGCACAACATTTTCAAGGTTCAGCTATGTTGTGGCGTGCTTTAGTAGTTCATTCCTTTTTGCCACCAAATAATGTCCTACTGTATGGATATACCACATTTGGTTTACCCATTTGTGAATTAATGGAAAAATATGTTTAGTAGCAGGAAAAATGTTTTCAATTTTTTTTCATATTAGGATATTATTTATGTCTAACATCTATTATTAAAACTATCAGGCACTGTATTAGATATTTGATGTGTGTTTTCTGATAGAGGTTACATAACAACTCTAAGATCCAAGACTTGATGGGTAAACTGGAAACTCACATATTAAATCAAGCATATGAAAAAATAATAAATTTGTTAAGAATACTTATTTAACTTGGCCAAGTCAGTTTTGAGAACAAAATTTTAATACCTCCATTTCCCTACAGACCCCAACATAAGCTTCCTTACCTGTCATTAGATTAATTCACACATTTTGGCCAGCTTGCCCTAATGAGAAATTTGCATTTCCCAGACCCTCCCTATGGTCTAAGTCATCTTACATATAAAGAAATTAAGATGTATTCATTTATTGCGCAAATATTTACTGAGAGTCTAATGTACATTAGGCCCGCAGTAGGTGCTGTGATTCAGAAAGACTAACATAGCTAAGGTCACAAATTTAGCAAAGCAATGATTTAATACCACCTTGCAGATTGAGAGTAAAATTTTATTTTTAATACTTATTTTCTCTGGATCCTAATTAAAGCAATCCAGGGAAATATTTTAAAGTACTTCATTAGGGATCTTTAATTTTTTTACATAAGTGAACTATTAGGCATTATTTTGAAAACATAATTTCTACTTAGCTTGTCAAATGCATCCTATTATTTAACTTTACAGGGAAAGAATCCAATAGCCAACCTACCTGGCATATTGGCTTCCCATTGTAACTTTTGTCCAACCTTATTATGTATAGCTGGAATACAGATATTGAGCACAATATATCATTAAGTCACTAATAAACTTCAGTTGCCCCTTTACCACTTTCCCCCATCTCCCCCTGTCAATGAGTAATTTATCTCCAGCAGCAATATGCATAAGTTGTCTTTGAAAAGGTGGGACATGGCATTATCAGTCACTGCATGAACGAGTTATAGCCAGCTCCATCATGGAAGAGAACAGATGATTACAATCAATAATCAATCAAAGAACCAGTGACAGTAATCATACATCACTTTCCACTGTGGAATCTTCACTCACTCAAAGCTTAGTAATGCAAAATCCACTTTCTGGGTATATTGGTGCCTTGCCTTTGTCCTGAATCTGCTCCTGGTTTGGAATAAGCCTGGAACGTGGAGCACTCCTACTTGGATTTCACCCTTTTGGGAAGGTTAGCAACAGTAGAGCCAAACTGAACGTGAGAGAAGAAAAGAACAATTGTTGTAATCCTTGCCTAAGTCCTTATTACTCATTGTATCCCATTTTGTATACAGCTAAGGCTGCACTGGCTAAATCTTTGTAGAATATCTCTTGTTAATCAAGTGTATGCATTTTGTGAAGCTTGTGGGCAGACATTTTATAACTAGACGTGTAAATCATGTCCAGTAAAATATACTGTCCAATAAAAGGTATAATCTCCATAAAACCAGAATTAATTGGGAAAATTGTCTGGGAGGTTTATTGGAAAGCAAATGATTTTGCAAAACACTAAAATAATTATTTAAGGGAAACAATATTTAAAAATACAAAAGCCATTCTATTTGAAATAAAAATAATATATTCTGAGAAAACTGATGCATGGGGATTTTCTAAACTCATACATTCAACACCCATTTGCTTAGCACTCATTAAGCAGTGGGAAAACATAGATCTCTGCCCTTAAGGAACAAAATATCTGTTATAAGAAAAGAGCCAAAGCCTGATTACACAGTGCAGAGTGCTCAAGGCTGTAAGAGAGTTTGTTCAAAATGCTTTGGGAGCACAGAGGAGGAAATACAACAACCTGAGGGAGTCTGGAATCTTCCATGAGAAGGTAGCTTTTACACTGAGAATGGAAGAAAAGTGGTGAAAGGTCATTTCAAACACAAGATCAGACAGACGCTGAGATGGGGTAGGAGAACAAAAAAGCATGGCATTTTCAAGCAACAAAGTGTGTGGCTAGAAAGTAGAGGAAGGGAACGGGGCTACTTGCGGGAGGAACAGTGATATGTGGGGGGAAGGAGGAAATGGAACCATGTGGGTATATGTCGGAGCCAGATTGTAAAAGGTCTCATATACCAGGCTTTCCTAGAGGGGAAGTGAATAGACCAACTTGGCACTTCAAGAACCACTTGGTCCTGACCACAGACATGGAGAAAAGACAAAAATGGGAAGCTGCGGACAGATGGACTAAGTAGGCTGCTGCTCCTAAGTTAGGCATTTTGCTCGGTGCAACTTTCTAATTTCTTCCAAAAAAGGACTTTTAGAGATATAGGCTTCACCAGACATGTCTTTCCTCACAGATCCAAAGAAAAATTACCAAACTGGGAGCAAGACACAGTTTTATCAGCATAAAAATTCTCAGTAAATCTCAAGGTATCAATCATATGAAAACATCAGTGTTTCTCAGGAAGAGGTGGCCTCCATCCTAGATCTCTAAACAGGGCTCTCAATCTTCAAGAAAGGCAAGGCAAAAGTTGCTATGTTTGATTTAATCACATACCTAAACCTTCCAAAATGAGTTTGGCAAAACCCCAAATTCCATCTATCCCCTAGGACATGTCGCCCTTTTCTTCAAGCTAGCGTGACTTTTCCTTAAATTTTAATATTGAAATTGCTCTTATTTGAAGGATCCTTTCAATATTTTTATGCAAGAAGCTTAATTCCTAAGAAGACTCTGATAAATTTTTGCAGAGAAGTTTGGATCTTTTAAAATGATCTCTTTAAAGTTCTGTATTGTGGCCAATTATATTCTTTCTGAGAACCAGTTTAGTTATTATTTTCTTCATGGAAGGTTTAGACTCAGTGCAGTGCCTTTTTTATTTTAATCATCCTTAAAGAAATAGAAAATGTTAATAAGAGAGTGCAGGGAGCTAGTGCTGTTAAAGTGGCAGGCTATTGGATTTGATTATTTTTGTACCAGAGAGTTTAATTGTGAACTCTGATTTTTCTTCATCTGTTTGATGATGAAAGTTCTCTCTAGGTCCTTATCTTATCATGAGTAAAACATCTCACATCTAGAGGACAAACAGAAACTGAAAACAATAAGTTGCTGTGCTTTTGCTTCAGGAAATAAATAAATAAATGCAGTAATAAGTTAACAAATGGATAAAGTAATATTTAAAATCTCCTTTATGATATATTTAGACTTGGGCTGCAAAACATAAACAAGAAACTGTTGGGAAGAATTTTGAAATTATTAGCTTTCATAGGTTCTAAAATTAGGCTGTTGTGGGATGGGTTTTTGGAAATTAAGCTTTTTCAAAATGATGTTTTCCATTCAATGTTGGAAAGTAAACACAGCGCCTGTTGAGGCTGCTGCCTGGAGGCAAACACATAGTTAGCTGAAATCCTCCTGGATATAAATATCTCCTGGGATTTCTAACTTGGAGGCTTAAAATTACAGTCTAGGGGAGGCAGCTACAGTCCACAGCATGTACACATTTTTGGACCTCCTATAGCCAGCTTGTCTCACCAACTATTACAAGCAGAAAAAAAAGAAAACAATGACGACGAATGAAAGGAAATAACACAAAGAGAACAAAGATGCAGATTCCAAGAGAAAATGGCATATGGCTCTTCACTGTCTGTCAATGCAGAGTATTTAACGACCATTGAGAGATTGTAATTATGCCTCATGCCACTTGTCTAAAGCCAGCCAATGATGTCCCCATGTTTTATATCTCCCCCCATACCTTAAAGTCCTATTTTGCCTCTCTGATCAAGTACAGCTCTTTTCCATGATTACTAGAATTTTCTGTCTTCTGCCCTTCCCTGCAGGATTAATTTTTCTTGCCTATAATTCAAATGTTACACTTTTTGTTTAGGCTCTAGCTGTGGCTACCTAACAGAACTTCCTACCCTGGATTCCACCTGTGCATGAACCATCACAAAGAGGATCTTTCTAAAACATTCCATTCCAGCATGTAAACAACTGTTGGATTTGGCACCTCATCCATCCTCAGCTTGGCATCAGACCTCTACACCTGTATCCCAATCTTCCTCCGAAGTCTCCCAGTAGTCTTGCCTGCTTACCTCCAACTACCATCACACAACTTGGGGCTCTGAAATTTAATAGCTTTCTGCTGCCTTTCTGCCTTCTTCACAGTACTAAGTCAACCTCAACTTTCCAAAAAATTATTTCTATCCTTTTAAAATCCTACCTATTGTAACATTCTCTTCTCTCCTCCAACCCACTGCAATTTATTTTTACTTCTCTGAACATCATAATATATTACTGTTACAGTAAGACAATACACACACATAACCACACAAACGCTTTCACTAATATCTATAAACTCTTTCCTGATGTACCCTGTTCAAACTTTATTTCTTTCTTTTCTAGTCTGGCCACATTTTGTCTCTATTATTTAGTACATAATAAATCCTGCCTTATTATTTGGTAGGTTTTGTCTATCTCCTTCCATTCCTCCTTGCTCCAGACTGGATACAGTTCAGGATACCATGTGAATCTTCCTTATCTTCCTATCTCCAGTAGCCCTTTCACAGGGCCAGCCTTGCTATCCTAACACCTCTTCAGAGAGCTGTGTCCCTACTACAGTGTCCTGCTTTTCTTAATATAATTTTCTCTCTAGTGTTTTCTTACAAACATGTTTTTTTTTCTTTTAACCTTGATTGCAAATTCTTCTGCAGCAGAAGTTATCTGTTCTCCTTTTGTACTTTCCCACAGAGCTGTACAAAATATCAGCCACAAAGTAGAATTTGAATACAGTGTATGAAATGAATAAATAAATGAATGAGTGAATAATGTGTGGTGGATGACATGGCCTCGGTACTGAGGTTGGTTAGCTGGTCTGAGGCTGATAGACATGTGAGTAAAAATAATAAAATTAGCCTCTTGTTCTTTCCAGATGGAAAGGAGTCTGGTTGCAGTGATTACATGTTAATCAGCAATTTGGGTTTGGATGTTTGTTAGAACATGAACTGGCATTGGGATTTCATTGTCTCTGAGTCAATGTACATTTTGAGTTTCTTCTTCAATTCAAGATTTTGTGGGGCTTAATTTAAACTGTAGTTAACTTGGAACCATAGAGAGATATTTTAAGATTTAATGAATTTCTAGGTAAAGTTCTCAGAGTTACTGAATGAAATATCCTCTACCAAGATCTAAGAGGGAGTTCAAGGTAAATCCATGAAAAAAAAAATAAGCTTGATTCAAGATTTACAGGAGATCTATTGTTCCAGGAGTCCCCAAACCCCCAGGCCGTGGACTAGTATTGGTCCATGGCATGTTAAGAACTGAGCCACACAGCAGGAGGTGAGTGCAGGCCAGTGAGCATTACCACCTGAGCTCCGCCTCCTCTCAGATCAGTGGCAGCATTAGATTCTCATAGGAGTACAACCCCTATTGTGAACTGCACATGCAAGGGATCCAGGTTGAGTGCATCTTATGAGAATCTAATGCCTGATGAGCTGAAGTGGAACGGTTTCATCCTGAATCCATGCCCCCGGCCCATCCCATGGAAAAAATTGTCTTCCATGAAGCCAGTCTCTGGTACCAATTATATTTGGAACTGCTGTATTATACAACATAATGATGTAGTTAATAACAATGTATTCTGGAAAATTGCTTAGAGAGTAGACTTTGAGTATTCTCACCACAAAAACAGGATAACTATGCAAGATAATACATGTATTAGTTAGCTCAATTTAGCCATTCCACAAAACATGTTATACATGATAAATATGTATAAATTTTATTTGTCAATTAAAAATAAACAACAACAACAAAAAAACCCACAAAATTTAGGTATCACTAGGTAAAGATCAGTGGGAAATCCTGCTAATTCCAGTAGAATTGGAATTCTGAAAGCTGTATTCATGTTTTTCTGGTTGTGCCATGTGATGTTCAGTGGCATTATCTTGATACAGTAGAATGATTCCTAGATCATATCTCAATGTTGGGTTTTTTCATTTTCTTTAAATGTACACTCTAGGACATTAATATCTCTCTGGATATCAAAACTTTATCATTGCTTGGCCTGGAGCAGTGTCTTATGCCCATAATCCAAGCACCTTGGGAGGCTGAGGCCAGATAATTGCTTAAGGCCAGGAGTTAGAAACCATCCTGGGCAATATAGCAAGGCCTTGTCTCTAAAAAAAATTTTTTTAAATAATGATGTGCACCTGTAGTCATAGCTACTTGGGAGACTAAGGTGGGAGGGTCACTTGAGCCCAAGAGTTTGAGGCTACAGTGAGCTATGATGGCATCACTGTACTCTAGCCCCAGTGACAGAGCAAGACCCTGACTCAAAAAAAAACCATATTTTAAAAATTATTGTCCCTTTTTATTGACATTGCTTTGTCTTTTGTTTAAAAGTCATTCAATTTTAGTGGCATCAAAGCATTTGATATTCAGTATAGTTACTGTTATTTCTCGAAATAAATGTGTTATTCACTACCGTTAGGTGTATTCAACTGCCTTTTTTTTTTTTTTTTTTTTTTTTTTTGAGACTGAGTCTTGCTCTTTCGCCCAAGCCGGAGTGCAGTGGCGCTATCTCGGCTCACTGCAAGCTCCACCTCCCGGGTTCATGCCATTCTCCTGCCTCAGCCTCCTGTGTAGCTGGGACTACAGGCGCCCGCCACCACGCCCAGCTAATTTTTTGTATTTTTAGTAGAGACGGGGTTTCACTGTGTTAGTCAGGATGGTCTTGATCTCCTGACTTCGTGATCCGCCCGCCTCGGCCTCCCAAAGTGCTGGGATTGCAGGCATGAGCCACCGCGCCCGGCCTCAACTGCCTTTTATTAGAGGGAAATACGTGTTCTGGGGCCTCAAACATGAGGTTGTATTGCAATTGGGTGGTGATAGCAAGAATATCAAGGATGAAAGTAGTGTTTTATTGTCCTAAAAGTCTTCTCAAAGTCATGGTCCCGTTTGATTCTCATAGCTATCCGGTAAGCTAAGTAAAACAGGTGACTGCCTCTACAGCTGAGAATAAGATGGCTCAGTCATTTCACGTGACATACCCAGATAACATCGTATACAAGTGGATAAGTCAAGACGGGAAGCTGGAGCTTAATATTTCTAGTGCAGTGTTCCTCTTGCCATTCTTGGCCACCTCACTCATATTTTATCCTTGTTCAAGGACCAGATGGTCTTCTCCTTCTGCTCTATTGAGCAAAAGCAATTGAGCTCAGAGCTGTGAAGATAATTTTAATTATATCTTCTCATTACCCTCAACACTGTTGATGATTCTCTTTAGTGCCAAAAAATAATAATAAACTTGGGTGGATTAAAATTTTTAACCTCTGTTTTCTATGATGAATGGAGATAGCATTCATAATTCTGAGAAGAGAAAAATCTAAATTCTACTCCCAGGTCCTCTGTGTCCTAGTATCATTACCTTTGGAAAGTCATTTGGGTGCTTATTCTTAGAACTGGAGTATCAAGGGCATGGACAGATAAGCACAAGCATCCGTTCTAACCTCAATATTTTATAAGGTTTGGGCATGAGTTTGCCTTGTTCATGGAACAGCGTGGAGAACTTCCCCTGGACTTAATCCTTGATAAGAAGCAGGACTTGGCTTTTCATCCTTGATATTCTTGTTAAATGGTGTCAGTGGTTCTGAAATTTATATGACCTGGTCCCTCTCCACTTTATAATGAATGAATCTATGGCTTTGGTCTTGTTTTGGGAAGCTCCTTGTATGGCATCTAGACATGAGAAGAGTGGCTTAAAAGTATATGATGTGTGTGTGTGTATATATATATATATATATATGTGTATATATATATGTACACAATCCTTTTAGAAGCAAAAGACTTAGACTATATAAAATATATACACTATATTATATCAAATATGTAATATATAATATCTCAGCAATATGCTAGCAATATATTATATATAATAAATATATATATTTATAATACAGCTGTCCCTTTACATTTATGACACCATTACCTTTATACTTAAAATAAATCTATACTAGGACCTATCTTGTTATATTCAATTAGCTCCTGAAGTAAAAATGCAACAAAATGTATAGTTTTTACTACAGAATGATCCACCTCTCATCTTGGATGCATCCTCTGAATTTGAAAAATTTTTCTAAATATTTAATTCAATAGTAGCCACTCGAAAAATGCTGAAAAAAAATAAATGAGTGTAAATGTTCAACACAGGCATGGTTGAAATACATGACCATTTTAAGGTTTGAATAAATTTTTTAAATGAAGTAAGTGTCAGCAAAAGTAATTTAAATTAAGCCACAGAACCAAAATATCTAGCTATACAGTTGGAGAATCATGTATGCTGTGATGTCACAAACACTGTAGAATTTCTGTTTTAAAAAAAACCATCAAACATTGTAATGAATTGAAGGGGTCAGGGGTAGTTCTTTGGAATTCTAGTCTAAAAGACCAAGTTGAAGAGCAGGGCCGGGTGCAGTGGCTCACACCTGTAATCCCAACACTTTGGAAGGCCGAGGTGGGCAGATCACTTGAGGTCAGGAGTTTGAAACCAGCCTGGCCAACATGGAGAAACCCCGTCTCTACTAAAACTACAAAAAAATTTAGCTGGGTGTGGTGGTGCATGCCTGTAATCCCAGCTACTCGAGAGGCTGAGGCAGGAGAATCACTTGAACTGGGGAATAGGAGGTTGTAGTAAGCTGAGATAGTGCCATTGCACTCCAGCCTGGGTGACAAGGGTGAAACTCCATCTAAAAAAAAAAGCAACTAGGAACAGGATTGCAGATTTATCATAGAAGGATGAGTTGAAGATGTTGTGAATGTTTATCCTGGAGAAGAAATAGGAAAATGTGTTAAATGCTATTGAATATTCGAAGCTGGGCTTAACCTGCCCTTTAGTTCCATGAATTCAAACTAGAGGTTAAGATGAGAGCTTTTTACCTCAGTATGAGAAGTAGTAGTTTCTTGGTCAGATCTATCAGGAGAGAGCCTGGGCTCCCTGGGGAGGCTGAGTTCTTTATCAAATAGAGGCTAGACAGAATGTTTAAGAGAAGTGCTGCCAAATAGAAAATAAGAATGTGAACAGAGAAAGATGTGTAGTTTTAAAATTTCTAATAACCATATTCAAAAAGTAGAAGAAATAGATTATTTTAATTGCATTAGTCTCCTATTCAACCCAATATATTTAAAATGTTATCATTTCAACATTAAATCAATATATAATTATTAATAAGAAGTTTTTACATTTTTTTCTACTAAGCCTTCAAAATTCAGGGTGTATTTTACACTTAACAGCTCTTCTCAATTTGGGCTAGCAACATTTCCTCCATAGCTACTTGTGTCTAATTCGTGCTGTACTGAGTAGTGCAATTTTAGAGTAAGCAAGAATAAAAACCAACCTTGAATTGCTGTAATTCAAGAAAGTATTCTTATTTGACTATCACAGGGGAAGAATGGACATCCTTTTCCAAATAAAGGCACTGTGTGGTCAAGAAACAGATTTGGGCTGATGGGATAATTGTGAAACCCTTGGGGCTGTGGAGAAAAGGTGAAGACAAACCATCATAGATCATCTTTGTCCCATATACCACTCTCGTATGAAGTATAAAACAGAGCCCCCTCTGAACAGATAAAAACCAAAAAGGTGCCCCTGACCCTTCTCCCATACCAGGACAAAAACTTAAATAGAGAGCAGAGCTGGGATCCAGCCCTAGCCTTGCCCATTGAGCTGAGCATCCTGTTGAGGCACTTCCTGGCATCTGTGTACCTGTGTCCTATCAGAACCAGTTTCTGTAGTAGCTGCAAACTGCAGTCTTCAACAATGATACTGCAACTTTAAATAGGTCACAGGTCTCTCTCAGAATCTGATAAATGCTATGAAACGCTTACAAAAGAAAAATTGTCAAAAATTCAAAACTCATGAACACTTTGAAATCTGTGGACCTGTGATTAACAAAACTGGCCACAGTAGTAGCTGACTGTATTTTCTTGTGAAAGCTTTAATTTGGCCCTGTTGTTCTGAGGGACAGGAGAACAGGAACAGAAAGAAAAATGTATGCTTATCCCACCCGTGCCTAAAATAGCTTTCATGAATGTGAATTGAACGATATTTGTTTTCCTTTTTATTTTGCCAAGTCATTATTCCGTTTGAACCATCTGAGGATTTTTGTCCTGCTGTCATTGGCTCTTCCCGACATTTTCACCTTGTCATGCTGGGGGAAGAGTACCTGGTGATAACTAAATTGAAGCACTGAATATTTTGACACCAGCCAAGGAACAAGATGGTCATTTGGTCTATTTTTAATGTCATCCCCATTGGCATTTCCTTCCAGGTAGTTTTTTTTTCTGTTTTTCTTTCTTTCTTTCTTTTTTTTTTTTGTGGCACCACAAGACATTCCTTCCCTGCTGTCTGCTTCCTGCTGTGATCAATGCTGATGATCACACAGGTTACATTTTATATCAAGAACAGTTGACTCAGTGTGCTGGGGCTGTAGTTCACACCCCCAGTTCTTGCTCTCCTCTGCTATTCCATGCATGTCAAGGCTTTAGAACAGTGAGCAGAAAGGAAACTTGTGGGACTTTAGCCACCTGTATCATAAGTCTACAGTATCATCTGGAAAAAATATATGTAGATATAGATAGATATAGATAGATAGATGGATTGATAGATTGATAGATATATCTATTCTGTCTTTTAAAAAAATACCCCCTTAGTTTGACTGAATGTTGTCTGGAAAAGTTAAGAGTTTGGCACAACAGGTAGCAGGTTTCTCTTTCCACCTGAGTTATAACCATTATTCTCACCCATTAAACCTAATGAAGGTTAGATTATTGAGAGAAATACTGCACTGTATTATGCCTTTGCAATTGCCACTGCAGCTCAGCTTGGAGATGGAACAATTAAGAACTTTTTAAGAATGCTTAGCAGTTCAGAGGTGTGTGATAAATGGATAAGAAGGAAAAAATATAGCTCTAAGAAACCAACGGAACATCCAACCTGCAGGGAAGATAAGATGCTCAATTAGATGGTGGAAGCATGGACCGCTCTCATTCTTAGTAATTTTTATACCTTGGGGAAGAGTTGCTTTTGGGATTTAGTTTATCAGGATATGTGAGATACTGGGTCAGACTTGATAGCTTCTCCCTGGGAACTGTGGGGAAGTACTGGCCTGGAGGGCAATTCTCGAGATTGCCTTGGTGGAGGGATGCCTTCTTGTATCAGGAAGTGCTGAAGAGAGCAGGCTTTTGCCTGCCCTGATGCTTTCCTGCAGTGATCCCCAGAAGCTGGTAAGTGGACAGGTTCTCTTGGTTGGTCACTCCACAACTGTGAGCCAATCATAGTGTAACTTTTTTGAATGATGCTCACAGCCTCAAGCCGGTTCAGCTCTCTCAATGGTGGCTTCCCAGAACTTTTGTTATGGGAAAAAACAGGTAAAAGGTTCAGTATCACCATGAGGGGGATTGGTCCATTGGACAGTGCTTAATGAACATTGAAGGAAATAGTTCCCTTGTACCCGGATAATAGTATAAATTTACATATACTGAGGTCCCAGGAGATTATCATAGGTTATTGTAATAAGGGTCATCTTTGAAGAAGGGAATTTTTCTTAGTTTACTTCTATAAACAGCTTCATGGGAAGATTATTCATATCTTGAGACCAGGGGTCATATATTTTCTCACTTTATGTGTTAGCAGTAGACTGGCATGTGCCTTCTATAAGGGAGTGTTGAATTCAGGAATAAATAGTACTAACTGTTTGTTATTACTTACACATCCCTACCCATTTGGATACAGTTTCTTACTTCAATGGCCACTTGTTACACAACTTTTCCAATTTTATATTGGGCTAAATGCAGTCAGGAGTAAAGAAATTAAATATGTACCACCAATGCCCGTCATTTAAGTGTCAAATACACATTGCTTACTTAGCATGTCTATATGTGGAATACTATTTTAGGTCCTATGAAGAATTTCTAACAAACCAAAACAAAATGATTCCTACCCTCATGTGGCTTGCACTTGATTCGAGAGGTGTCTTCCTAAATGTATATATGTATGGGTGTACGTGCACACACACACACACAGAGGAAATCCAGATAGCTAGAAAACTAAATTAATACAAAATAAGATCACGTTAGCAAAGTACACTGGAGATCTATAGTTAAAACAGAGAATAGGAGTGGTGTTGATGGGGATGTGTGGATGCCTGGGGATGTGTAGATCTGGAATTTGTAGACGAGAACCCTAGATTGACAAAGAAGAAAGATCAAAGCCACGACAGTATACAGCAAAGAAGTAGAAACAAATAACATATATGTAGGGAGCAGCACAGCCTGGGTTGTCCAGAGCTTATGAAGTAGATTTTTCTTCCTCTCTCAGACAACACCTACTTACCTCTGACAGTTCTTGACTGGGGACACCTATCAGAAGGGGACTCATAGCCTAGCATGGTAACAGGATGAAAAGATGTTACTGCTGGATAGAGCGTGGGAGGCATCTGGGCCTAGTCCCTCAATTTGCAAACAGAGAAATTGAAGCCCAGAGAAATTATATAGAATGTGATCAATAATAATATCATCATCATCATCATCATCATCATCATCATCCCTGGTAAATTGTAAAGCTGGTATTGGAACCCAGGTATCTCGAGACCTTGTAGTGAACTCTTTGTACCATGTCATTCTATTTTTCAATTGGCACTTGGGTTGCTGCTTGGCCAATTCTCATGCTCTGTAAACCTATAAAGCAGATGGGAACTGCATGTAGCTTGGGGAAAGAAAGCCAAAGAAAAATTGCTTCTACCAAATTGTGCACGATGGATCCAATTTAGAAGTCTGTCAGAACACGGGCAGCTAATAGAGATATACTCAGAGGCTGTCTGGACCTTCCAAGCCACTGAAGGGAAAAGAGCACACCGTCTGGAGTCAGGGGATTTGGTGTGAGAAACTAACTAGTTGCCTTATGAGAATCATTTAATCTAAAGTTCCTCATCATTAAAATCATTAGGTAAACTTAGAATCCCTTTGAAATGCTAATAAAATGTCACTGAATTTATGCTGACGTGACTATAATCTTCAAGTCTTATCCAAGACATCCAATTGCAGGCACAAACTGATATTCTTGCCAAATTGGCAAGCTGCTCTATGCACTTAACCATGTAGCATTATATTTTATTGGGACTTTTAAAACAAAATTCTTAATCTTAAAAGCGAAAATGTTGTTACCTTGCCTTGATCATGGAACTATTGTAAATTGGGAGAAGGAGGAAAATATGTTTATCAATTGCTGCTGGATATGCATTAATTTTAGTCCACTCATTCCACTCCCTCATTTATTTGAATGTGTACCTGCATTCAATAGCTATTTAGTGAGTTCCTATTGGTAAAGATAAATTAGGCAGTGTGGGAGATAGATAGGTAAATTCTGCCCACAGCATGTTCATAGTTAATGTGAACAAAGCCAGTTACATAAATAACTCTATATACCATGAGATGAGTTGTTTAGACATTTGAAAGACCAGTGAACAAATACTCATAACTGAAAGCCTTATAAGGCTTTATAGGGAAAATGAAAGTTTAAAAGACCTGTTAGGCATACTGGGATTTCGTTACACAAAAATGAAAAGAGGGGGCATGTTAAGGTGAAGGAACAGCATGAGCAAAGGAACAAAGGCAGGGATGTTAAAGGGAGGACCATAAATTACTAGGACAATCATCGGGACACATTTTTGGTAAAGGGCAGGATAGTAAATATTATAGACTCTTCAGGTTATACCATCTCTGGAGTAACTACTCAACTTTGCCATGTAGCCCAAAAGCCCAAAAGCAACCATAGACAATCCATAAAGATTCATGGCTATGTTCCAATAAAGCCTTAATTACAAAACAGGCAGTAGGCTGGATTTGGCCCTCAGCCCAAAATTTGCTGATTTCTATCCTCAGGTATGGAGAGAAAGAACAGGAAGAACAGGCTGGAAAGGAAGCTGGATCAGAATATCTAAAACCTTCTATTAGCTCTCCTAATGTTAACGTCTTATTTGTTAACATAGCCTTTTCTTTTCTTTTCCTTTTACAACATTGGACTCAAATTTCCAATTTGTTGCCTTTTGAAAACACAGGAATGGTTGCTTCCATGATTATGCAGGCAACACTTTCTTAACCATCCTTAATATAGGCCAATATTCCAAATAAGTTGTGAAAGTCACCCTGACTCAGGGGCTTAAATGTAAATAATTAATATGTGTTTCCCATCATATATATCAGTGCTGGGGTAAACAACCATCCTGCTTTTCCTGAGACTGAGGGGTTTTCCAGGAGAGAAGACTTTCAAGGCTAAAACAGGGGCACTGCTGGGCAAACCAGTGTGCTTGGTCACCCTAATTAGTCAACGTTAGCATCTCAAGTAGGCAACAAGCGTCCACATCAGTTCTAGGCTGGTTATATATCCAGTTAAAGTGGGCAATTGCTAAGCTAGCCATTGTTTCACAGAAATAACTTCTAGAAAGAGAGAGCAGATAAGCTAAGTAAGTGGTTTTCAATTCGAAAACTGGGTTAGTGTAATGCAAGGCACAGCCAATACAGGCATCAGCGAAATCTCCCAGAACCCCAGCCTGGAGATCCTGAGAAAGTGTTGGATGGCATTTCAGCAAAAATGTTTACATTCAGATGGAATATTTGGGGTCTCAAATTCTGGAGAAATTTCCCATTTGTAGACAAAATGTAAGTGATTTGATCAGTATTACCCAATAAAGTATCTGCTTCTATATAATTACTCATTTCTATGAGATACTGAAGAAAATGTATGTTTAGACATTGAGATTCTAAAAAGTTTTGTGAAACATTCTTCACAGATTTGACTATACTTGGATCTAAATATCCCTGCACTGCATTCTTCCTACACATATTTCCCTTTTTTCTTTTAGAAGAAATCACTGCTGAGATACTGAAAAGTGATTAGAGGAGATTAAGATATTAAACACAATATGAGCAATTTTCTGATATGGGACTCTGAATGCACTTTTCATGGTCTTTACAAACTTAAACCTTCAGTGATGGAATTTGATCTAGTATTTGAAGCTCCTAATTGGATTTTGGAGAGAATATATAGATAAAAATTAATTCATGCCATGTTATACACTGTCAGTTCCTGCATTTAGCATCTCATTCCTGATGTGACAACTAGAGACACCCTGTGTACACTGGAGATACGGACATTCTAGCTTTGATACATTCCATCTAAATATTTTTCTCCCCTCTTCTAACCAGCTCCTTCTATCACATGCAGTTGCTATTCTCTTATCCCCATTTGTCTCCTGTCTGGACACTTACCTTATAAGCACAGTCCACTTTTTGCTCATAAGCAACTTTCCCCCTCCGACTAATTTGTCTTTGTACCTCCTTCCTAAAGACCCAACAAAAGAAGTGCTAATGACTTGTCCTCCACACGGTGAACCAGTGTTTTTCTACCTATTCCTGTAGCCTCATTCCTACCACCACTACTAGAGTGAATAATAGAATACTAGAGTAATAAGGTAACTGACCATGGTCTAGGACATTCATTTGAATTGTTAATTTCATCTTTTTGTAGTAGCATCTCCTATTTTATCAAGCAGCCTTACTAACACAGAGTTTCATCTTTTGCCATGCATGACATTACCTGATATTTAGAATATAAACTATGATTTGTATGGCTAACATTTATTTTATACTTTTTTTCTTTTCCAGGCACTGCTTTTTTTTTTCCTTTACAGAAATTGTCTCATTTATTCTTTATAACTCTACATGTTATGCAGAAGAATTTTGAATAATCTAAGTAGATACTCCCCTTTCTCAATGAGGTAGAGCATGACTCTGCACTTCCTCAGTGTAGTGTTTAATTCCAAAGAGTAACCTATGGAAAGACCAAAAAAAGTAACTTTATAGTAGAGAAATAGGACACACATCACCTTAGCCAAGTGTTCAAGGTGGATATCAACAGCAATAGGTCATGTTGATAGTATGTACCCTTTGTAGGATGTGATGAGAATGACACTTTACCTCTGTGTTCTTTCTCTCTAAAAAAAACATCGCCCAAACATAATCATGAGAAAAATAACAGAAAAAAACCCAAATGAGAAACATTCTACAAAACACCTGACCAGTCCTCCTTAAAACTGTCAAGGTCATCACAAACCAGGAAGGTCTGAGAAACTGTCACAGGCACAACGAGCCTAAGGAGACATGGGGATTAAATGTAACGTGGTCTCCTGAACAGAAAAGAGATTAAAAAAAACAAAACTAAGGACATCTGAATAAAGTATGGATTTTATTTTAAAACAATATATCCATATTAGTTCGATATCTGTATGTGTTCTATTTGATGAACGGTTTCTCACTTGGCATTCTTTGTTTTAGTGACTTATTTGTCTAAGCCTATGGGCTTTGATATCTAGAAGTCCAGGCAAAATCATTACTACCTTCTGTTTCTCTTACATGTATCAATACTGCCCCCTGACACACACACCAAATCCACACAAGGCTCCAAGGTACATATCCTAATACAACAAGAGGAAGATATAAACTTTGTCTGCAACTTAAGCCCTGGAATAGACAATACTGCTCATGAGGATAGTTGAAATCCATGATAGGCCACCAAAGCTGACTGTGGTACCTCTTTCCATCTCTCCTCTATTAGGAATAGTAATTCATGCTGCAAAGTGTGTAACAGATGCACTATACTAGTGTAAGATGTTAATAATGGGAGAAAATAGGTGTGGGGTGTATGGGAACTCTGTACGATCTTCACAACTTTTCTGTAAATCTAAAACAATTTTTAAATGTTATTTTTTATTATTTTTATTATTTTACTATTTTTAAAAGTTTATTTTTAAAAAAATGAATGCTAATGATAACCTGGAATAAGAGGTACATGTGCAGATGTTAGGGACAAATGTATTTGTATCTTTGTGAATAAAATGTTTCTACTTTTCAAATTCAGAAACAATACTGTTGTCTACAGCATAAAACAAGGTCAAAGAAAAGAGTATTTTAAAATTATCCAACAAGCAGAGAATGTGGTCAGTGGCAAAAGTACTAGAACTGTGTGCCAATGATGGAGATCATGGCAGAGCGGACATAATGGGCACTTGGCAGGCATGTTCTCTTAATTGAAATGTCAGCCCTGTTGGGTACGATCTATGTAGGAGGGCTCGGAATAGAAAAGAAAAAGGTAGCAAGGTAGAATCATACTTCTGAAATATTAATAGTGGCAATGAACTTCAACTTGACAGTGAAATTGATAGTAAAGCATTTAAGAAGAGGACACAGCAAATGGAGAAAAATAAAGAAAACCTCAGTGACGCTCTACCATAGCTTGTTATAGTAATATGATTACCTTTGAAGGAATACTCACACTTCAGAACATAAAGTTGTGCTAACAAAAACAGAAGAATCAACAAGATTAAAAGCATTTCCATAGATAAGACAATGATCCAGAAGTTCAAAAGAGGGAAAGATGTTCTTCCTACATTTTTAGTAGTAACACTGCTCATTTTTACAAGCAGGCTTTGAATAATGAATGAGCTACTCAAATTCATGAAATGATAATACAGAATAACTTATGAAAGGTCATGCAGCCTCCCTTTATCACCCCTTACTCTCCTCTACACACACACACACACACACACACACACACACACACACACACTTTGCAGCATGAATTACTATTTCTAGTAGAGGAGAGATGGAAAGAGGCACCACAGTCAGCTTTGGTGGCCTATCATGGATTTCAACTATCCCCATGAGCAGCATTGTCTATTCCAATGGTTGAGCTGCAGATGAAGTTTCTATCTTCCTTTTGTTGTATTGGAATATGTATATTGGAATCGTGTGTGGATTTGGTGTGGGGGGTATTGATGCATGTAAGAGAAACAGAAGGTAGTAATGATTTTGCCTGGACTTCTAGATATCAAAGCCTATAGGCCTAGAGAAATAAATCATTGAAACAAGTAATTCCAAGTGAGAAACCACTCATCTAATAGTAGAACACATACAGATACAGAGCTTACAAAAAGTGGCGGATTGATAGGTAGGTACATGAAAATAGGTACATGTGCTGAAGGTCAAAGGCAGGTAGATTCTACTTTTAACATTAGGAGGAGACCCACAGGAATTAGGAGGGCAAAGCAAAATGACCAGAGAAAGCATAGGCCATTCGAAGGACCTTGTTTCCAAGAAAAGGAATTGTTATCACAGGAAACCTCTTATGTGATTTCCGGTACCATTCAAAACCATTCTTGAGATATGTGCATCCTAGGGCCTGAGTTGAGGATACAGTTTTAAAGGGAAGGTTGAATAGGTTGGAAACAATTAAAGTTGATTTGGGTATGAGAAAAATGTGGCAGTCAATAAAGAACAGAATTTTTTAAATGAAAAAGTTAAGCTGTTTATAAAGAAACAGAATGGATAAGAAGTGTATATTTATCAAACTATATGAGTTCATTTTTAAAAATTTGGGGACAGTAAAAGCATCTAGCAAGATTCAGTGCAACTATTTGGATATTTTACCTAATTGTCTACAAATTTTTCCACGTGCTACTAATGCAATGAGTAATCAAGGCAGTTAATTAACTGGCTTAAGGCAAAAAAATTGTCTTCATTTATTTTAGTAATTAAGATAATTCTAATTGACTTGAAATTATCTAATTGACTTGATAATTCTAATTGACATGTGTAGATGTAGGCTACATGTAAAGAAATAAATGGGCTAAAGGAAAAAAGAAAAAAGTATTTCTCACACTTTTCACTGATGATATGTATACAAGAAAAATAGCACATACACCAAAAAATATTTTAAACATAATGTCTATTTGTACCTAAGCATTTAAGTGGAGGAAAATCATATGCAGTTTCACAGGCTGCAGGTTACAGCATTATTGGGTTTAAAGGTTCAAAGGGAAATGTCTTTTTTAATTCAACATTAAGATTTTGACACATTTAGTTCATTCCA
This sequence comes from Homo sapiens, assembly GCF_000001405.40. NCBI lineage: Eukaryota > Metazoa > Chordata > Mammalia > Primates > Hominidae > Homo > Homo sapiens. The sequence continues at coordinate 52,553,072 of NC_000018.10, forward strand.
AAACGGCAGAAATCTGATAGTAAAGGGTTAAATATTCCAAATTTGAGTTTAGGTTTTTAAAATTCTCAGGTCACTTCTGATTAGAGAGAAATGTATGTGTATATATAGATGCACATGTATGTGTATATACATACTTATACAAACATATATACATATACACACACACACATATATGCTTTAAGCAGCTGATGGTGTAATACCAAGGGATGCCAGAGAGACAGCAGATCACTCACTTTTTCCTATCTGTGTTTCCTCTCCAAGAACCAAAAGACCTTTTGACTTGACCATCATAGAACAAATATCTGTAAAGACATAGGCTAAGCAGGGACTGAAGTGATGGAGTGGGAGGGTGAAGTGGTATAAGTTTTGAAGCTGCCCTGAATGAGTTCAAGTCAGCTTGACCAGGCGACACAAAGAGAATGGATCAATGAACCACTGCCAAACATGAATTTCTGTTCAACAAACATTTATTATGCACCTCCAAGAGGCAGGCACTGTGTGAATTTCTGAGAATACAAAGATGAATGAGTGAGGAACCCTGTCTTCCCAGTGTGAGTGCACACTCTGGGAAGGAAGCCAAAAATGGTAGACAATAATGACAGTGTAAGGAGGGCAATTATAGAGCTCAAAGGGGGTCTAGAGGAGAGTAGGGGAGGATTAATAGAAAGGATGCTGTTTGTGCTGGTTAAGGATGAATAGGAGTTTTCCATATGGACCAGATGTGAAAGCCATTTCAGAGGAAACAATATATGCAAAGTCATATAAAAACAGCACATGCAAAGGCATATAATGAAGACATAATGATATATGTCACACAGTGCCACATTACAAGTTGTCATGTGATAGTGACTTTAAGAAAGAGTACAGAGCCAGGAGGAAATAATGCTAGGTTCAATTCCCTCTCTATAGTACACCAGCTGTACCATTTGAAAAAGTTATTTACCTTCTAATTTTCAGTGTTCTTATCCATAAAATGGGGATAATAAGGGAGACTAGGTCAAAGATGGTTGTATTAAGTGAAACAAGTGCTCTGTAAATGTTAGCTGTTACTGTTATCAGGGTTAATTAGGCATTGTTGGATCACAAAGTAGAAATGGCCTCAAGTTAAAGGAAAAATGGCAGATATAAACTCTAAAGAAAGATAACTAGTGGGTTAGTAATAAAGGAATGCCCAAAGGATGGGATTAATGAGACATTATCCATTTTCATGACATGCCACAGGTTTCCTGTTTATCCTGATTAACATTTCCATCAACCTGGATGAATGCTTCTGAAACTCATAGATGACATAAAGTTGCAGGGGCTGCACTTGACTTGGAGTGACATTTTCCAGCTTCCAACTGATATTGATTGACTAGCTGAAAGAATTGTTGAAATCTGACAAGATGAAATTTAAATTTTAACATGAATAATACACAGTCCTGACTTTGACTTTACAAAAGATCAGTGACAGATCAGAAAAAGGCCTGTATTAGCAGAAACGTGAAAAATCAATGATTGGGGATTTTAGTTGGTGCTAAACTTGATGTTGTTCAACAATAACACAGAGCTAATGTGATTTAGATTACATAAATAAAGGAAAGGGATACCTAGCATGATAGAGACAATGGTCTCATTCTTCTGTGTTTTGGCCAGAATATGTCTTCCATGACAAATTCTCAGAGACATTTACAGACCAATTAAAGTAAATTCACAGGCTCACTATCAGGATGGTGAAGTAACTTAGTCCTCTCATTTAAGAAATGTGTATAAGATCTGAAAAGGAAAAGACTCAGGAGGACATAGTTTCTGCTCTTAAATATATGAAAAGTGGTCATGAAGAAAAGGAATTAATTAATTTGAATAGAATTGAAGGGTAGACTTAGGGTGAATGAATGAAAGATAAAAGATAGAATTTAGGCTTGGCATAAGTAAACTCTAAGCTAACTTCTTTTGAGTTCAAAAGACTGAAGGTGGAAGGTGGGGGTGAGCTAATAAAGACTTGCTGGTCTCATTGTACCAGGTAAAAACTTTATGGAGGAAACTATTGTCAGTAGAGTGTTGTGCTAGCTGGCTTTTAAAGTGTCATCATACCTGAACATTTCTGAGTCTGTCATAATAGGTTTTGACAAAGAAAACTCACAGTCGAAGAGCAGTGTAGGTATTTTAGATATCGTCTAAAAGTTGGTCAAAGAAAATTTGGACTAACATAAACCTGAAGGAGGACTAACAAGGTTTAAAATTATCATCCACAGTAAAAACTTTTCTAGGGTCATGTGCTGTGGAGAATTTCAGGCAAATGTTGAGTTCTAATTCAATTTGCTATGTATTAATGATTTGAAGAATGAATAGCATGGACATTAGAGTCAGTCGATGTTTCCTAATTTAGTGAATACAGAATTATAAGAAGAAAGCAATGTACATTTTTTTCTTTTGTTATGCCAGTAGAGCCCTATAAGCTGAAAGAAGAATGAACTAGATGATCTATTCACTTCTGTTTTGCACATCTATATTTCTACAGTGGCAAAAAGAATATAGTGAAGACTGGGAGCATGGATATTTTGATATTGGCCATTAATAATGCACACAGGAAGCAGAAGGACTCAGGTTTGCTTTTTAGTACAGATTTTGGTTTGGTAATTTCGTTCTAAGAAGACTGTTTTTTAAAAAATCTGTTATTATTTAATTATATCAAACAAAAGGATAGCATCTGATTTCGATTCATTTAACCTTAATGGAAAAGAACAAGTCATTACTTAAAGGATGTTTTATAGACTGTGTTATTTCTGGTATTTTTAGAAATCATTTATTCCTCTTCAAATTGATGTAATATAATTATTCATTAATAACTCTTCTTGATGTCTCTGGAGTCATCCCATTACCCACAGTCATTATGCATCATTGTGTGAATGTTTGCTCTAATACTGAGATATCTATGGCTCATTGAGTCATTACATCCATTGGTGTCTATCCTTTTAGTGAAGAATATACAATTTATTTTGAATCAAATTTCATTGAAATACTTTCCAGGAACTGTATAAGCTGCTCCTAAGTCCAGGGAGAAGAATAATACAGATGTAGCCCCTAAATACCAATCCTATACATTCCTCATAGAAATCGCTACCTTGGCTAGAATATTCAATTCCTGTTGCTGAGGTGGTGCCCCAGAGGAGACTTGTTCGTAACTTATGAGTCCAAAGTTGTAACACAAAACAACTTCCCGTAGAATCATTGCCATAACTATATTATACATTTAATGGTAGTTTGTACTAGAACCCATTATAGATGGGTTCAGTAGCCATGAAAATGTCTAAAAACATAAAGACAACATAGAATATGATTTCCTCTGGATAATGGTAGGTAGGTTAGATAGAGTGGTCATAGCTTCCCTTGAAGGAGAACAAACTTGGTAAATAGATGGAGAGAACAAACCACATTCTGTGCTCATGGTTAGAACATCCTGCAGCAAGGAGGTAGAAGAGCAGAAAGGAAAATACCCCAATTCATGCAAGGGCAGAACTCATGATTAGTGTCCTTCATTTTCACAGTAAAAATCTCACCCCTGGATGGAAATTTGAGATGCTAATGAGACATGTAACGTATGTACTAGCATGTACAACAATAGCACATGCACCCCCAGGAGACCACCCAGAACATGCTTAATGGCAACACTCCTTCCCCCCACCTCATGAATAATTGCACATACTCCCATAAAGGGAGTTTCCCCAGTGTCAATTGGTGCCGCCGTCTCACCTTTGAGCAGCTCCCTCTGATCAGCCATCAGAATGTACTTTCGTTTTATGAGGAATTATTTGTATTTTGGACTAACTCTCAAATTCTCCTGTGTGGCAAAGTCAAGAACCTGAACTGGCCCAATGGCTATAACAACATTTTGGATACCAAGCAACCACAGTGTATTTGTTAAAATAGGAATACAGACACTGCTTCATAGATTGAAATACGTAGCACGGTAAGGATAACTTTTTAAGTTACAATCAGCTCAAACTTTAAAATCACTAGCTATTTTCTTTAAGTTAATCTAATAATAAATTATATGCTGTGTAAATATTTACACATATTCGCCCCATTTCTTAGAAAAGCACAAGTATAATCTTTCTTCAAGCAAATCCAGTGTATGAAAACAGTTAACAAAGTATGTTAGTGTATGGTTATTCATATCACAAGAGGTTTTTAGTTACAAAAGGATAGCGCCTAGGGTTTCTTTAAATGTTGCGTCCCATTATGCATTTAAAACAGTACTTAGATTATCCAAACCTTCAGGAATAAATCTATTATGTAAAGTAACAGATACATATATTACCTTATTTGTGAAGTTTGGTGAAATTAGTTATTTGGTAGATGATTGACACAAGTCTGGCAGGGAGCCAGCGCTGTGAAAACCAGGAATTTCTGATCCTTGGGGTTGTTATATAATAATCTGCTTCCATTAGAATATTTATGATGAGTTATTTTAAATAATAATACTATTGATATACTACTTTCAAAATTAAAGTATAAAGTTTACTTTCTCAACTACATAGAAACTTTAGGAATAGTTTTTAAAGGTGAGAAGTCTGAATTCATTCATTCCACAAATTAAATTTTCAAAACTAAATGTCTCTAATTCTTCTACCTAATTTACTCTGTCACTCAGGCTGGAGTTCAGTGGTGTCACCCTGGTTCACTGCAACTTCTGCCTCCCAGATTGAAGCCATTCTCATGCCTCAGCCCCCCAAGTAGCTGGGATTACAGGCATCCACCACCATGCCTGGCTAATTTTGGTATTTTTGGTAGAGACTGGTTTTAGCCATGTTGGCTAGACTGGTTTCGAACTCCTGGCCTCAAGTGATCCACCCTGCCTTGGCCTCCCAAAGTTCTGAGATTACAAACGTGAGCCACAGCAGAATTCAATATCAAATATTTTTGTTCATTTTGTTTTGCTTTATAAATAATGTTGTGAGTATATTATATATAAATTTGTGTTCTTATGTTTTCCTTCAGAATTTTAATTTGTGAGCTTTTCATACTATGTTAATACAAACTTTTAATAATTAGCATTTGAATGATCACAGTTTCTTCATGTAGACATAACTGTTTATTATTGAAAATTTAATATCATTATTGGAAAAAATTATTGGGAAAAACAATTTATTGAGAAAAATAAGATTTTTGTTAGTGTAAATAACATTTATTATTAATATTACTATTAATTAACATTTATTATGATAATACATTTATTACTTGGAAAAATAATATTTTGCTATTATGAATAACGCTATATTTAGCAAAGCTTCGTAGAACCATTAAGAATTTCTCTACACATATTGTCTAATTGCTTTACCTACTGTTTTCTATACATACATATTATGTATTTATATGTTACATATGCACACATATATTTTTCTTATTTATGGGTGAAAGATTACTAGTATTCCTATCATTGGCAGTGAGATGAACATATTCCTCTCCAGATTGCATATTTGCAGGATACTATGTTCCTCTATTTTGCCGTGTTCATATTGTGATTTAATACAAAATTCCTAGAAACTTGGTGAGGTCAGTAGAACGGGGTTTATCACACCCATGTAGTGGGGTCTCCTATTATCCAAAGACAGGCATCAGGTCAGTGGAAGGAGAACCCGGGTCTCCTCAGTCCTGGATTAATTACATCTACCCGAATTTTAAATGAAAAATGAAAAACAAAGAGTGCATCTATAATTTCTAGCCAGCATCTGAGATGGAAAAGGCATTTTCTAGTGATGAATAGGCTCATTATGTTCTCATAAATTAACTGGTGAACACATAGTTAGAAATATAGAATTTTAGAGCCAAAGGAAGCCTCAGCTAACCCCATCTCCCATTTGATAGACAAGGAAACCGAGGTTGGGACGGGTGATGTAGTTTGCTTACGGTTATCTCATGAATAATTGCAGAACTAGGATTAATTGTCTCGATTTCTAACTACTCGTTTCTCCACTACCCCAAACAAACTACTGCTTTTGTTTTTCTTTAACCCAAATGTTAATTTGCTTCATTATTAAGACAGGTTTTTTTGTTTTGTTTTGTTTTGTTTTGTTTTGAGACTGAGTCTCGCTCTGTCACCCAGGCTGGAGTGCAGTGGCACGATCTGGGCTCACTGCAACCTCCGCCTCCCAGGTTCAAGCAATTCTCCTGCCTCAACCTCCCGAGTAGCTGGGACTACAGACATGTGCCACCACATGTGGCTAAATTTTTGTATTTTTAGTAGAGACAGGGTTTCACCGTGTTAGCCAGGATGGTCTCGATCTCCTAACCTTGTGATCTGCCTGCTTTGGCCTCCCATAGTGCTGGGATTAGAGGCGTGAGCCACCATGCCCAGCCTAAGAGAGGTTATTTGAAATATATAATTCCATCTCTATTAATTTATCTCCTGTAAAAAGAGATTCCCTCTCCTTTTTCATGCCATAAAGGATCCAGACAGCCACAAGGCTTAGCATGCAACACTGACAAAATGCACAAAAGAATCAAAATCGAATTAGGTAATCAAAAATGAAAACCAAGGTACTGCAATATGAAATAATGTAAATCATGCACAGCAAACCTATGTATAATAGAAATACCATGTTCCTGCCTGTTTCTCTAACCCACCAGTTATTCAGTCACAAGTAATTTACTCTTAGAAAAAAAAAAGGGCCCCAAATTTGATTTATTTCCCCATCCAAGTAAATTTTAAAAGGCTGCCAAAGCTTTCTACATAAATCTCAAATATCTTCCCATATTGTGGAGGAGAGAGAGAGAAAGAGAGAAAAGAGCTTATTATTTATGAAGCTAATCAGGCAGGCAGAGGAGGAGTTAGCTTTTAACTTTTTCATTTATTATTTCCTCGGAGTTAATATTTCATTGAAAAGCAATCTATAAACAATATCTTTGGGAGCTTATACAGAAATGACTTAAAGATTTTTTACATTGTAAATGAGTACCTCTTATTGCGTATATTCCATGCCCCACCATTTTTATTAGCAAGGTTATTTAAATAACAAAGAAAAAGTTCCAACTTTTAGTTATTTATTGGTTTAAGCCAAGGATCAGCAAACATTTTCTGTGAAAGGCAAGATAGTGAATTGTATATATTTCTGGCTGTGGGCGCATGATCTCTGTTGCAACTACTCAGTGGTGCCTCTGTCGCAGGAAAGCAGCCATTAAAAGTATGTAAATAAATCAGTATGTTTGTGTCACAATAAAACTTTATTTATGGACACTGAAATCTGGATTGTATATAATTGTATATAATTCTGTGTATCATGAAACATTGTTCTTTCCGTTTATTCAACTATTAAAATATGTAGTAAACCATTCTTAGCTCACTGCTGTACAGAAAGAGCTAGACTTGCCCTGGGGCCATAGTGTGCTGCTCTCTGGTTAAACTGAATACCCTCATTGCAAGGATTTTGGTATCTATGGCCTCTCTCATAAACAAGTGAGCCTGTTTATGAACTAGTGAGCTCTCCCAGATAGTCTCCCACTTCATCCTTCTGTAGAATAGAAAAACAAAAAATGAAGGAAAGCAAAAGACACCTCTTAAATACTCTTTGATCTTGATCCTTGTTGAGTATGTATAGTTCCACTTAAAAACCTATACACCAGTCCTTGATGCTTTTATCTTTTTAAAATAAACTATTACTGTGCATGAACCCCCTTTGAAATGTATCATTTTCTGCCCTAGAGATGTTTGTATATGTGTCTTTTATTTGGATGTGAGAATGTGGTATGGTGTGTGAAATATGGCAATTACTGGATGTGATATAAAGTATTTGCTTATTTTCTTAAACATTGTAATATAAACATTTTTTGAATTCAAATGTCTTAACAGAATGATTCAGATATTGCATTTTATGTAATAAGTTTCTGTATCAATTTTTCCTTACATTATAATTTTATGTGTTCATGATGCTAACCATTTGGATATTTGGAAGCATATGGAAGGTTGAATATTTCACTTTATATCCAGATGTTTGGTGTTATTCAATACTGATATATAGGAAAAGAATATGCTCAGCCATCTTTATTCAAGATTTTTTTTAATTTCTTTATTGCCCATAAAAGTGATGATTTACAAATGTACAGGTATTATATAGGAGTTTGGTTAAATATATTTTATTGGTGTGAATGCCTAAATATGATTTAGAATAAAATATCTATTCATATTTTAGAAACATTGAATCTGTAATTCTAGAGTTTTTATGATTTTATGTGTGTGTATGTGTGTATGTGTATATAGGCAGAGATCAATATGTGTATATATAATAGATATTTAAATACACATGTATAAATATATACATTGATCTTTACCTGCATACACACACACACATATATAAATATATACATATATATATGTTTGTGTGTGTATGTCTATGTGCTACACACACATATATATATATATACATATACACACACACATCTGGCAGTTTTGGAATTGATCTCTGCCTGATTCTTATCTGTACCTTAGTTTATACATACTTTAAATATTATGAGTGTGCTCGAAAAAGCGAATGTGGAAACACTAAGTGAATGAAACTTTATTTTTTGAGCTGGTAACTATTGTGAGGATTCCCTCACTTGCCTACTGTAACAACCAATCCAGGGCTTTCTGCTCAAAAAAGAACTTCATCCTTAGAGCTATCATGAAATTATATGGTGATATTCACTTCGCGGTGGGTTTTACATTAAATGAGAAAATGTGTGTGACCAGTGCTTTGTAAATTGAAAAATGCTATACGCCCATTAGCTGTTACCTGTTCAACTTCACTGAAACTCCTCAATCCATTTTTCTCCATCTTATTTCAGAAGCTATTTCTAAATCAGAGGATAAGTGTTTTTATCACTGGCTTTTCTTTTAGTAGCCCATGGATGCATTCCAATTTTATTATTTCACAAGTGTTAATTAAGAATGGTTAATTGTCTGCTATCCTTAGCCCTACATTAAAGTGCTGTACAGAAGACAGAGACATAGCAAAGTACAGACTCTCAGGAGACTGACATCTAGTTAGGGAAATAAAAACAATCTAGTTAGGGAAATAAACACACCAAAAATGCATTGGTACAAAATGGGATGGTGTTGAGCACAAGTTCACTAAGCTCTCAGAGGAGGGATACTGAGTATGGCAAAATCAGATTCACTGGTGAGTTAGGATTTTACCTTGGCCCTAAAGGAGGGGAAGAGTTTTGGAAAGTGCTATATGAACCGACATTCTTTAATTAGTAATTTGGCACATTCTCCTGAAACGGTCTCTTGTTAAGGTAACAGACATGAATTTTATATGGAGCTAAATGTCTAAGTCAGCCTTTCTGACAATCAACATTCATGGGTCCCAGATTCCTTACTTTATATATAAAGGGATTAGATGACTTGTATCAAACCACTGTTCTTACTTTATTTAGCCACATAGAGTTTGTTTAATATTTAATTTAATGGAAAATAGCAAATAGAAATGACCTTGCCAAGTTTCCAAGAAATGAAGAGTGGTCAATCATCATGTTAACTTTCAGTTTCCTTTTCACCTTTTTGTGAACAAAATAACAATATTCAGTTTTGCATCTCCAAACACTGTTGCCGCACACTATGATTTATATACGAGTATGATTAGGAAAAAATGAAGAGTTGAATATTGTCAGTTGTATGAAAAAATGGTGTGAGCTTTATGTCTATCTGAACATATTAGAGCACATAAAAAGAACAATTTTAATCATTTTCTTTATTTTTTTATTTTTATTTTTTATTTTTGTAGGGACAGAGTCTCACCATCTTGCTTAGGCTGGTCTCAAACTCCTGGGCTTAAGTGATCCTTCTGCCTCAGCCCCCTAAAGTGCTGGGATTACAGGTGTGAGCCACCGCACCTGGCGTTAATCATTTTATTGAAACAACAGCAGAAAAATTGACTTCTGAAGTTAGCATCTGCTATGCATCCATTAGAGACTTACATTAAACATTAGGACAAAACTCTGATACTTTTTGACCAGTTCAAATATCAGTTCATAAAAATGAAATTCATCATCTCTCCGTTAGGTAGAAGTGGCAATTTTCATCACATCCTCAGTAATTAAAAAGTGTCTACACAATGGGAAAAGGAAGGAAGTCAAGATTGGCTATCTAAAGCTGGGTCTATCTGGATAATCAAAGCTACATGTAAATATTAGTTTTTTGATGCTGACTTTTATTTTACAATAAATAAAATTACAGCCATCACTACTGTCAACTCATAAACATAGGTATTAGAAGAAATAAAACCCTCTTCAACTCTTGTCAGAATCTATAAGTATGAAAACATACACCATGTTTTTTAAACACTAATTGACACCAGAGACAATTTGCCAAATTCCTGCTCGAGCGTTTCATTCAAATCTGAAGGAGGGATGTGTCTAAATATTAGTATGAACTCTGCGGTGTCTTACATCTTGTATGAAACATTCCATCTTCAGCAGGCACACATAAGGATGGGAAAAATGATCTTTTGACATAAAGTTTTGGAATCTTTCAGGAACACTAAGTTTAAGGTCAGTTGTTTCCTAGTGACTGTGCCTTGGTGACTATGCCTTTTTGCATTTGTATACAATTAAAAGGGCCACTTGTCATTAAATAGAGTATACACAGCTTTTCTATATTGCTTTAAAAATTATGCAGGTAGATTTTTCCCTGGAACTATATAGAACCCTATCTTTAAAGTAGTCTCCTCGGAACTGCATTGTATTAGCACTTCCTGTTTCCTGGTGTCTTATTTAATAGTTTCTATTTAGCACATCTAATTGAAATCTGTTGTCTGTCATTTGGCCAAAGCCAGGAATGCCCCTTAGTAGGGTTCTGTGCCAAAATCCCTGAGTCTCACCCACTGTGTTCTAGTCAATTGACTTGCAAAAGCAAAGCTTTGGGAACTTATGTAGAAAAGTAGGTCACCGGTCCAATATAGCATTCCTAATAGTAAAAAGTAGAAGCATGTTGCTGGTTGTTACATTTCATGCCAATTTTCATCCAGTTCAAATTATGGCACTCTTCTATGTTTCTTGTGACCTGCTTTAAATTAAAGATGCTTACTAATAGTATAGATTCTGTACCATTTTAAAGTCTTCTCCTTGGATTTTCTTGTCTTCCTCAAAGGATTCAGGGTTCCAAAAGTAAAAGATGACAATAAATGTAGAAGAGGTCTATGAGAGAATAGATTCTCCATTTACATACATGTGCATATTATTTGCTTTATAGTCATTGTTCTAACTTTCAGAGAGATGAAGTTATTTTGAAAGAAATTACTGGGCTGAGAATCCCTAGCTCTTCTTTAAGTTTGTTAAATGTGTGGTCCTCTTGTTCAGATTTAAAGTTCTTAAGCATGCACTAATAGTCATCGTGTTTTCCTCATGTTTTCAACTGTGGCAGTAAGAAGTAATATATACCTAATCTCATAATTTTGTCCTCTAGGTTTTGAAAGACATTTTGACAAATTACATGTGCATTTTAAATAGGTTTCTTCAAACAGAAATTTTAAGAATAAGTAACTTCAGTAATAGAAGGAAACAACTCTTCCAAATTTAGATGTCTCTTCTTTCATTGATCTTTGGGCCCAGGGTATGGGATATCTTTTATTATAATATTGGGGGGGGGGGTGTTAAAATGCCTCTTTCAGCACTTGATGACAGTTGGAGAGTCACTTAAGTAAAATTTACCTGTATACAAATACATAAAATTTCAAGGATTTCATGGAACTCATGAAGACTATTCAGGACCATGGAACCCAGTAGGAGGAGCTCTTTGTAGTCTAGAGAGAATAAAAATCTCTGTACATGAGCGCAGATTGCTTAGGCGGCCTTACATCAAAATGGGTACCTAGAGTGTGTTGCTGGAGAGTAATACTGACTTCAGTAGAAGCCAAGAAGCTGATCTCTCACACTGCTTGCGAAAGGGAAGCATGTTGAAATTAGAGGGAAATGTAAAATGTGTAAGGGACTAAGAAGGAGGTCTTGCTTGGGAAGAAGCTGGACCTAGTTGAACAAATTGTCTAGCTGGAGGAACTGCAGTGTAAGACTTCTCTTCTAACCTGGACCTCACTGGATTCTATGTACTTTTAAACATTTATATTTTTTCAAAACAAATAAAACCCTGTCTCTGTTCTATTTGAGCATGGTTAAAAATGATAATGTGTCACATTTTCTTTATCCAGTCTATCACTGATGGGCATTTGGGTTGGTTCCAAGTCTTTGCTATTGTGAATGGTGCTGCAGTAAACATACGTGTGCATGTGTCTTTATAGTAGAATGATTTATAATCCTTTGGGTGTATACCCAGTAACGGGATTGCTGGATCAAATGGTATTTATTGTTCTAGATCCTTGAGGAATCGCCACACTGTCTTCCACAATGGTTGAACTAATTTACACTCCCACCAACAGTGTAAAAGTGTTCCTATTTCTCCACATCCTCTCCAGCATCTGTTGTTTCCTGACTTTTTAATGATCGCCATTCTAACTGGCATGAGATGGTATCTCATTGTGGTTTTGATTTGCTTTTCTCTAATGACGAGTGATAATGAGCTCTTTTTCATATGTTTGTTGGCTGCAAAAATGTCTTCTTTTGAGAAGTGTCTCTTCATATCCTTTGACCACTTTTTGATGGGGTTGTTTTTTTCTTGTAAATTTGTTTAAGTTCTTTGTAGATTCTGGATATTAGTCCTTTGTCAGATGGATAGATTGCAAAAATTTTCTCCCGTTCTGTAGGTTGTCTGTTCACGCTGATGATTGTTTCTTTTGCTATGAAGAAGCTCTTTAGTTTAATTAGATCCCATTTGTCAATTTTGGCTTTTGTTGCCATTGCTTTTGGTGTTTTAGTCATGAAGTCTTTGCCCATGCCTATGTCCTCAATGGTATTGCCTAGGTTTTCTTTGAGGGTTTGTATGGTTTTAGGTCTTATGTTTAAGTCTTAAATCCATCTTGAGTTAGCATTTGTATAAGGTATAAGGGAAGAGTCCAGTTTCAGTTTTCTGCATATGGCTAGCCAGTTTTCCCAACACCATTTATTAAATAGGGAATCCTTTCCCCATTGCTTATTTTTGTCAGGTTTGTCAAAGATCAGATCGTTTTAGATGGGTGGCATTGCACCATGGAATACTATGCAGCCGTAAAAAAAGATGAGTCCATGTCCTTTGCAGGGACATGGATGAAACTGGAAACCATAATTCTCAGCAAACTAACATAGGAACAGAAAAACAAACACCATGTGTTCTCATTCGTAAGTGGGAGTTGAACAATGAGAATACATGGACACAGGGAGGGGAACATCATCACACGCCGGGGCCTATCAGGGGTTGGGAGGCTAGGGGAGGGATAGCATTAGGAGAAATACCTAATGTAGATGAGGGGTTGATGGGTGCAGCAAACCACCATGGCACATGCATACCTATGTAACAAACCTGCACGTTCTGCACATGTATTCCAGAACTTAAAGAATAATAAACAAAAATTGAAATTTGGACATTTAATGTAAACTGACCCAGGTCACGTTGCAAACCACAGATGGTGGTAGTTTTATACCAATTTTGTATATACCTTTATGTGATAAAAATTAAAATTTTAAATTTAAAAAAATGATATTGGGGCTACAGCAGCTTTTTGAGAAGGCTGGAATTGGGAAAACAAGATTCACGAGACTGAAGAAGGCCTAAAAAATGACTTCAGACTCTTTGGGGTACAGCAAAGAAGGAGTTTGAAGCTATGAGCTCCCTGTGCAGGGCAAAGTAAAATGGTTTATTTGGGCTTGCCATTAATACGCTGTAGAAATTTGGATTCAACCTAGCTTGGATACATTTGACAACTATATGACGTACCATAAAAATGGATGAAGTTATAAACAAGCTATATGATAAAACTTCTAGAATGCCTAAACCCATGTAATAGCATAGCAGCAAAAAGCAGGGACTTTTCATGCATTTATAGTGAAGTTAGGTTAAGAATATCGTTAACTTTTATAAAATACCTAGGACAGTAATACTTAAGTACCGATTGTTATTAAAATTATATTGGACCCTATGAAGCGGTGATATCCAGCTGTGTTTTAACACAAAATTATAATTTCATAAAGCTCAACTTAACATTCCTTGACAGAGCTAAGTTTTAATTATCCTTCCAAACTTTATAGGTATATACCTAGAAATATTTTAGAAACCAATTTGATATGGTCATTCAAATATTCATTAAGTTGATAAATTTATTAAATTAATAAATATAAATTTTATCTCTTAATAAGACAGGTCTACCAAGTCACATCATCTTTAGCCATTATTATAAGTGCTGCCTTGTGTGAAATTGATCAAAATGGCAGGAAAATGTAGTGTGGTGGGAACAGAATGGACCCTGGAGCCGTACTGCCATGGCTGACATCCTGGCTCCATCATTTGCCAGCTGTATGAATTCAGGCTTAGCCTCTACTCAACTTCTCTGTGTCACAGGTTGCTCTTATTTAAAACAGAAGTGAGGTCTCAAACTCGTGGTCTCAGAAACAGAAAGACAAATACCACATGTTTTCACTTACAAATGGGAGTTAAATAATGTGTATGCGTCAACACAGAGTATGGAATGATAGACAACAGAGATTCTAAAGCAGGGATGAAAGGAGGATGAGTGATGAGAAATTACTTCGGTACAAATGTACATTATTTCCATGATGGGTACACTACAAGCCCAGACTTTACTACTAAGCAGTATGTCCATGCACTTGTACCCCTTAAATTTATGCAAAATAAGCAGTATTGAGCTTAAAAAAAAACAGAGAGGTGAGGGAATTCCTTTATCAGGATGGAGCAGTTCTGTACTTTGACTGTGATGATAACTATTCAAATTTATACTTGTGATAAAATGTCACAGAACTTAATATGCATGCACACACACAGAGCACCTACAAAACTGATGAAATCTGACTAAAGTCTGTAGTTTAGTTTGTCATATTGTGCAAATATCAATTTTTTGGTTTTCATAATGGTTTGTTTGGCTAATGACAGTTCTTTAACTGGTTTAGTACTTGGGGGGTGCACTGAGTGATGGGTAGACAAGGTCTCACTGTATAGTTTTTCTAAATTCTTTTGAGTTTATATTTGAAAATAAAAAGTTAGAAAACTACACTTATCTTATGAGGCAGCCGTCCTATTCTTAGTTATTTTCCTTAGAAAAATAAAAACATATGCTCTCACAAAAAAAGCTACACAAATGTCTACAGCTGTTCTAATCATAATCACTCCAAACTAGAAACAACCAAGATATCTTTCAACAAATGAATGAAATAAATGGATAAACAAACTGATACATCCAATGTATTATTCTTTAGCAGTAAAAAAAGAAACAAACTATTGCCATAAGCAACAACTAAAAAACAAAAGATAAAAATGAAAAAATGGTGACTCTTTACAGAGTTGTTAAATGAGCTTTTATACAGATATATGAAGTTCCTCTAATAGAGACCAGCATGCAGTGTGTGCTTCATAAGTGCTTGCTATTATTATTTCTTCAAAAAAATAATTGATACTTCAGGATTCTAATAAATATTATTTTTTTTCATAACTTGGACAAATTAAAGAGTATAATTCTGTGAGTTTCATATGTTTACTATATGTCACTATGTGTGTGTGCTTACACACACACACCCCCACACTTCTCATTTAGATGTACCCATAGACAAAAAGCACAGGTGAGCTGCGAGAATTCAGCAGTGAACGTGCAAGGTGTGGTCTCTGCAACTATAGAACTTCCACTCTAGAATGATATTTTTTTAAATGCCTAAGTTTAAATTTTTCAAATAAGTGCTTAAAATTATTCCAATTTATTACAGTTTTTAAAAATTACACTAATTATGGGATTGTCTTGTGCATTAGAAATACTATGATTTAAAAATATATTTGTTTGTATATATATCTCCCATTGATTGAGATACAGGACTAACACTTACCATACGTGCTGACTGTGTAAAGTCAGCTTTTATAATGGAGTTGTTATATTTTGAAGAACATGCTTTGAATCATTGATAAGTCTGTGTAATAACAAGATAGATCATAACAGGATTTACCGGATGTTTATTGCCAGCTACATAGCCGTCCAGCACTTTGCCATCAATCTGTACTGTGTGTGAAGCACTGGGCTGGATAAAAGAGGAACACAACGCATTTCAGCCCAAGCTATGGAGTAAGACACACCTGGGTCTATTTCCTAGTATTGTCGCTTGCTAGGTGTATAGATTTGCACAAATTATTCAACTTGCATGCTCCTCCATTTCTTCCCTTATAAAGTGAGCACAGTCTTAATGATCAACCTCACAGAGTTAACAGTGAAGGAAAAAACTTGTCACATGACCGGGCACATCTAAAGTGCTCAATAAATCTTAGCTATCTTTATTGCTATGTATACTAAAATTATTTGAGGGAAACATGACTTAGAGATTTAATGATGAAGAAATAAAAAGTGGTGGAAAATTACATACTCTATACTCCTATGTAGAAGCTTGTGTTGAAGGGAGTCTCAAATATATTATAGGATACTTGCATTAACTTCACAGGCAATATGGAACTTCCTCTAGGGCTTCAAGTACTGTAAGGTTTCCGATGTTTATCTAGTGACTACTACAATTCTGGCATTATGCTAAAAGGGGAATGATATGAGAAAAATGTGATGACTGAGTAAGGTGGGGTGGAGTTGGTGTACCAGGGATAAGTAGATTAGCATTAACCATTTATGTTATAGCTAGAGAAAGAAATGTGGGCTATGAAAAATATAAAGGCAATGTGTATTACATATCACTGCTATTTGTATTTCCCAATATAAAGGGATTAAGTGCAATTTGAATTATATATATGTATACTCAAAATAAGTTAGAGAATACCCATTTGTTTATAATCTTAAAGTCGTAGTTGAATTCAAAGAAGAAAAATAAAATGGAGAAAGTACACTGGATTAGGAGTCAAAATACTGGGATCCTAGTATGAGTGAACTAGTTAATCTCTTATTTAAGGTATCTAGCTCCCTCAGTTATATATAGACACATTGGACATTATTAATTTAATGTTATTTATTAAGCGCATTTTATTTAAATAATTCAAACTGCAAGCTGCCTAGAGCTAGCAAATCTCTAACGGCCTGACAGGTAGTTTGAAGTAGCCGTAATTACACACATTCTGCCTATTGGATTATCTGCTGTGGCTTGCTTGATGGCTTAAAAATGAACATTAAATGGCACTTAAATCAAAATTCCCAGTGGCCTTCTTAGGTGGAAGCAGATGCTTCTCCCGTTTATATAGAAATATTTAGATACAGGAAGCAAAGGAGATGTATAGTTTAAAATGTCAAGTTGATTTGACATGTTTCTGGGTTTGTTGGTTTTGCATGAAACTTTAATGTTAAACAAGCTTTAAATAAATCATCTCTTGGTATTTGAGGGGGAAGATGTACTATAAATATATTGATTCCTTTTAGTAAAATGGTTTATGGGTTCATTAGCAATGATGCTGCAATAACAACAATTTTTAGGGAATATCAAAAGTGAAAACAAACCTGTTAGCATAATTTTCACATTTGTAGAAACTGTTTTGTGTCATATTATGATGTTTAGAATGGATTTAGAAACTTGAGCCTAAGCAGCAGTTTGGTCTCATGATACTAAATTCACTTTAATATGTGACATAAAGTTGATATTTTTAAAAGATTTGGTAGACATGAGCTTGTGTTTTTGGGGCAATAATGATCATTATTTTGCTGAATTCCTTTCCGTTATTCTGTTTCTTTCTGTACTGTACAGTTCAGGAAGTTAATCCTCAAAGGTTTGGTATCATTGTTTTATTAATTTTTTTGGTCAGAGAATAAGACTAATTAGTTTTTCTAGCTGGCTGTGTCATGCTAAGAGGTTTTAGCTTACTTTAGGGGTTATAATTTGATCTATAGGATAAGGAAATCTATATGGATGAGTAATTTTGAAATGCACATTCTTTCCTTCTTTTATTGACTTTTGACTCTGTTTTTATGCCACGATTAGTTACAAGGTGCACAAAAACTTTTTCTAGCTTGAGTAAAAAATGCATTTTATTTGAAAGGCACTAGAAAATCTGAGGAACATAAACCAGAGCTCTGCCAGGAACATGACTCAGCTCCCCAAACTCCAATGTGTGGAGTCTTATTTGAAAATTCAAAATATTCAGATGGAGGAATCTGACAGAGAAAGAGAGAGAAGGAGTGGTGACTATGAGGAGGGGTCAGAGAGTAGCCTCTATGGGTGGGGGAATCACCCTATATATATTACGGGTAACTTCCAGAGAAAAGGGCAAGCATGGGTCAGTGTTTCTATTGTTAATGGTCACCTGTTTTTATAGAAAGAAAAATATCCCAGTTGTCCCTCTTATTTCCCAGTATTCTTGCCCAGACCAGCTTAAGAAAATTGATAGAACAAAACTTTTGACTAGTCTTACTCCTGAAAATGGCATGTAACTTCACACTAGAATTCCATTGCAACACTGCAGCCTTCAATGGGCTTTGCACTACTTCCCAGTGTCCATGAGCCCTGACTCTGTGAGCCTCTTGTTCCCATCAGCGGTGCACCCCTCATTACTACCTTACCTTTGTTGCCACAGGCACAAAACAGGTCAAGGCTGCTGAGACAGTGGAGGCTGGTGAGGTCTTGCTATCAGATCAGATCCATACCAGGGACTCAGCTTCAAGCCTGGGAGAGCATTCCATGCTGCAATCCCTTGGGAAACTGGTTCGGTTCTGGTCTTTCAGTCGTTGGAAGCACTGACTTCAATATGTCCATCAATTTTCCACAGTAGCAACATGTATGGAAACATACAAAGATTCCACAGGATTTTTGTATTAATTATTAAGTGGCATGCGCTGAGTTTGCTGAGTGGTCAATCTAATGGCAAAATTAAAACACACATAGAACATATATATGGACATAGAACATATGTAACATATATGTTACATGGAATACAATATGACTGAAGATAATAACAATACTATTTTGGGAGGCCTTAACATTTTTAGCAGCATAAAAAAATAAATGTTTGGAACATCCAAAGTCATATTATGTGTGTCCTGTGGAGAAAATTCCATAGAAATAATTCGGGCTTTCTAGGCTTTTGCAGACACCCAGCGCCTGCTGGCAATAAACAGAGGCACTAAAGCAAAGCACAAGTGGGCAGCCAGATATAAATATCCCCCTCGTCGACAGATACAGCGTGGGACACTGTGGGCTACAGAATCAGGAAGGAGGGAAAGGAAAAATCTCTAGTCCTAAGTTTTTTTACTGCCCTGTCCCATTTTTTTTTAAACTACTCTGTTTTTCCAACCCTGCCTAATCGAGATTTCAAGGCAGCTTGAGCCTGTCTTTCCCTGGTTCCTGAGGTCTCCACTGATGACAGCTGAAGCATGTTTCCTGACAGAATTCTGCCTCCTGGCAAGGTAGACACAGACTCCGGGGACATAGTGTGTCAGAGCTTCTAGAGCTCCTGGAGTCCAGGCACCTGCAGTTGAGGGCCGTGACTGTATTGTTGCCCGTGGGGCTTTGCTTTGAAGGCGTGCTAAGGGGGAGAGGGAGTGGGGCCCTGCCCAGAGGTGCAGCCTCTGCTTCACCTCCCATTCTTGACGTGGGGATCCAGAGCATGGGCAGACCAAGAATCTTGTGTACAGTTAGAAAGGTCAACGGGAAGAACAGGCTCTCTTCCTGGGAGTGATATAAAGTGCGGGGAGGGAGACTCCTTACATTAGGAATAATTGAATGTGGAGAATAATCCCTATTCCCTCAGGGTACATTTTAATAATGCAAGTGACTGATCCACTTAATGTCTGCCTGATTTGAACTGTACATTGCCTGGCTTTTCATTAATAATAAATCCACAGGTAAACAAATGCTTCACATTAAATGCCTCTTAAAAGTGTTTAGTGTCTACTGCCAGAAAACCTATTAAGCACCCTGGCCTAAGAAAGGCAAAATTGAACAGAAACCGTATGTAATGTGATAGAAACACCTTTGCATTGTCTTGTAACAGGAAAGTTCACATATACCTTTAGAATGCATTTTGGGAAAATTCCAAATAATGGCTTATTCTCTTAGTTATAAAATAATAAAAATGTAATAAATCTTGTATGGTTAATAATACTTGATTTACTATCAATAATAAAAATACATATTTAAATGTATATTTAAACATAAATTTAAAAAAAATAAATGCATATGCTATATACTTCTCTATCCTATGGATATAATGAAGTTAGGGGGCAAGAAGGAGAGCTTTTATTCTTGTCTGTCCTCAGCCTTTAAGTTGCCTGAACTAAATCATCCTTGAAGTTATTTCTCCTGCAGTAAAAAGGACCATTTAGACAGGTGTCAAGGATTTAACAATAAGTAGCATTTACTTAATATATGCTTTTTTATTATGTTCTCACAACGAAATTAAAATGCAACTTTCCTTACCAGATGGCCTAAAAGTGTTCTAAAATCAGAAACTTAGATTTTAGTGTTCTTAGAATTTCATTTGTGGTGTTTTCATTTCTGTTCGTTCTCTTTTAATTACCAAGGGCTGAATTAACCTCTGGTGAGATCATCTGCTGTCTCTTTCTATTTCACTGGTTGACCTAGCCCACTGACTCTTTACATCTAAGATCAGAGAATTTTCTGAATTTGGAAAAGCCCATAAAGACCATCTTGAGCACTGCTCCCTTTTTTAACTGGATGAAGAAATTAAGTAACTGTATTAAGTGACTTGTAACAGATCAAGTTAGTATCAGCAGTTTCTAGATTTTAGATGTCCAGATTCCTAGTCCCAGACTGTTCCCTCTTAGGATGACCACCTCTTATCAGTTTTTGCCCTATCACCATACTTTTCATGGGTTTCTACATGCTCTGCCTATTTTCCTTCTGCTTCTGATTTCTAAGTAGCCTATCCAAGTATTTAACCACATGCATAGCCAGAAAATTTATTCTTAAGTCCAACACACATCTGTATAATTGCCTCCACCTCATCTTTTGTAGTCTACAGCATGTCAATCATTCATCCATTTGTTCATTCAGCAAATATTTGAATTTCTATGATGTTGTTTAACGTTTTTAAATCACTTTGTTAAATCATTTTAAAAATGTAAAAGTATATTGATTATATGCTTCCGAGTTTTTGATCTCCTGTGAAATGTCAAGCCTTTCTTTTCAACCCATTGTTATTTTGGCTAACCATTTATGAGGAATATGTGAGTGTGGAAGCCTGCATTTATGAATGTGGATGTGTATAAAATAAAAGTGCATACTTTGGCATTGAGGACAAAACAAAATTTGATATAAGAGAATTCATAACAGCTGTGAGAATTCTAAGTCACCATCAATAATAGCAATATCTCTTTCCAGCAACACCCATTTTCCTTAAGGCCACTGAAGCATAATATTATAACCTTCTTCATAAAGCTGTTAGATAGAGCTATGGAATAGTTCTTTAGAATTAAATGTAGAAAACTCCAGAATTTCGGAAGTGAATTATAAAGCCAGACTGATTTAAGTGTAAGAAGAAATTTCACTTGAATAAATTCTACTCGCTGAGTCATTGCAATCATAGATTTAATGTAGTTTGAAACCACAAAACTTTTATAGTTTTAGGCCATGAAAGTAAAGAATAAATTCCCCTAAACAACTTTGTTGTTTTCTTTCTTTTTGGTTATAGTCCACTGTTGAAGTCACTCTTTGTCCCTTTCTTTCAACATGGTATATGAATGTTTTCTTTGCCTCATGCATCAACTAGTAACAAAGGTGAGTTGACTGTGAGAACAGTGTCCAATAACTTGTCATATGTGAATAGGCTTCCATACAAATGAAGCAAATTTAACACCTGTTTAGAAATGCAAAGTCATAGACCTTCTGAATTAGGTACACTGTACTTTCAATGACTTGAGCAAGTCATTGGAACTCTCTGAGGCTCAGATTTTTGGTCACTGCAATGAAAAACAGCATCTGCCTCGTGGGGTTTTTATAAGGATTAAGAGTCATAGCTAATCATGACATCTGGAATTTAGCAGCCCATTTATGTTATTACTTTTTGTTGTTGCTGATGTCATTAAGATGTGAGTAGCCCAAGACTTTAATGAGTTATATTTTTCTGGACCAATTCTATTTTATACCACATACCAGAACCATCTTCTCTCTGTATCCATTCTGTAGAAAACCTGAGAACTTCTTCATAGCTTTGGGCATTTAAAATTAGTAAATTACTAAAATATACATACTCTATGCTTATACTAAAGAGGCAAACCTAAGTGATACTGAGAAGAAGTGCTAATGGATAGAGGTGCGTTATACTCAGAAAGATAGATGGTGTAGGATATTTATTACTCACGTTATTCACTGCATTTACGTGGTCAGGAAGGTTCTGGAAATAAAATGTTCTATTTTGTACCCAATCCTAATGTGTTAGTGTATCAGTTGGACAGAAATTTTCTTATTCTTTCTTAAGATCAGTTATAGGTCTGGAAGTCACTAAACATGATTTCCTACCATTCTTTGACTATTTGAGTTAGTTTCTTAGTTGTTTTTTTCCTACCTTTGTAGAAAAATCGCACTCATAGTGTGATTTTTAGGATAGTGATAATAATAGTAAGTGCCTTTGAAAAAGGAAGGCAATTTATGTTTCCATAGTTATTTCATGTGATCATCACAACTGCTCCATAAAATAGAAATTTCGTTGTAATTTATTCTTTTAGGTATAACTTAGGGATATAAAAAATAAAGCTATATCTGCCCCATCTACTTGAGTCAATACACTCTTTGCCCTTAGTAAGTAAGTAACCTCATTGAGGAAAGGTGCTAAGGTAGTGGAACAATTGCAGACAGAATGTTTCTAGCAATAAATACATGCCAAAACCAATAAAGCAGGCATCTGGGCTTTTCATTCAGATGGGTAAGCGAAGGAAGATCTCTCTCCAGACTTCTTCATCCTGAAGAGGAGATTGTTATGGCGTCTACTGTTTACAAGTTTAACAACTTGGTCTTTTGTGGTTCTTTAAGATTTTTGCGGCATGAGGTTTAAAAAGATCAGTTAATCATCTTCATGGCAGGCAAATTTTGAGGAAAAGAGAAAAGATACCGGAAAAAGAAATCAAGTTTCCTTTGCTAGACGCCATTACAGAATGTTCCTACAGAGAAGAAATGGCAAGTGCATAGATGTCCGCAATCCAACAACAAAGTGTGAAACTGGGAATGGCTCTGTACTAGAGTTAGCTATCTTCCAGTCTAGCAATTTCCGTAGCCCTGCTATAATTGACTAGCGGGATTAAGGACAAATGAAGCTGCCTGGACTTTTATTTTTTTATCGTGACTAAGAGTATATATGTAGAATAATTTTAAAGAGGGCACCTCGGCGGTCCATTCTGATCAGAAACTGGAATGTTGCCAGCTCTCAGAACTTAGTGTTTGCTTCCTCCAACCTCATGTTTTACTACCTCTGGTTCATTCCTAAAGAAAATAATGTAGTTTCCGCCGGGCACAGTGGCTCACGCCTGTAATCCCAGCAGTTTGGGAGGCCGAGGCGTGTGGATCACGAGGTCAGGAGATCGAGACCATCCTGGCTAACATAGTGAAACCCCATCTTTACGAAAAATACAAAAAAATTAGCCGGGCATGGTGGTGGGCGCCTATTGTGCCAGCTACTTGGGAGGCTGAGGCAGGAGAATGGCGTGAACCCGGGAGGCAGAGCTTGCAGTAAGCTGAGATTGCGCCACTGCACTCCATCCTGGGTGACAGAGCAAGCCTCCATCTCAAAAAAAAAAAAAAAGAAAATAATGTAGTTTCATCTATGTTTGTAATCATGCTTTATGCATCCTTCCTGTCCTTCCTTCAATGAGCATTATATTTGTGAACTCTACACACATTTCATGTGCAGTTTTATTTCATTTTTCTTACTGTATAATATTCCATTTTATGAACATATGGTAATTTATCAACATAGTCAATATTTGGGTGTTTTCAATTTATAGCTGTTACAGTGCAGCTCTGAACATCTTCTAGCATGAATCAAGATGCACTTAGGCAGGATCAACTTCAGTTATACTTAGGAGACACATTGCAGTTGTTTAGAATATGTGTAACTTCCTATTTATATTTCCATTAACAGCAAATGGCAGTTCCTATTTCTGCACATCCTTGCAGTCACCTGCATTGTCAGACATTTTAATTTTTGCTAATCTGATGGAAGGGTAATGATATCTCTAGGTGACTTTTAATTTGCATTTACTAATCACTAATCAACTTGATTACCTTTTCATATGCTTATCACTTACTGGGATTTCTGCTTTTCATGGTGTCTTTTCAAGTATTATAGCTATCTTTCCATTGGATGAACAGAATTATTTTTAAAAAATGAAATAAAATGCCACTTGAGAGTTTCTGTGCTAACGTTTGCAATAGAAAGTTCAAGCAGAATCCCAAAGTTGAATTCTTAAGTTGATGGTTCCATAGTTATTTTTAACTGTCATATAATTGAAAACCTTTATTCCCTTCAAATTTCTTTTTCTTTTCTAGATAAAGTCTTGACAGTTCTTTTTTCTTATCTTCTTATTCATCTCCCCTCCCCACTTAGATGAAGTAATGCAAGGCTTGTAATTTAGAGCTTAGAGCAATCTCTAAGGAAAGAAAAATGCAGGAAGATTGCCCTTGGCCTTAGGCTTTAGAGAATCTTCCATTTTGCATTGGAAATAGGCATATTCTTGGCAGAGATTGCTGTTGTTTAAACCTCTTCTGATGCCACCTAATGGGAGGCTAGGAAAGGGAACCTTCAAGAGATGCCAGGCTTAATATTAAAAACAAGTAGTTGGACAGCGATTTAGTGAGCATAAGGAACATAATGACAGGTAAGGAGAGAGGAGATGATTTCACCTACCCGTGCTAAAAATGGCTTTGGAATGATTTATATGCCATCAACTCATTACAGCCCTAACTATCACCAAGGATCACCAAGGCAACGAGGATTATTCTTCACACACATCCCTCAGGCTTTATCTCCATCTTCTAAAGCAATTTTGCTATTCCTTCCAACCTGATTATTTACACATGGATGGCAGTATTTAGGTGGGGCAAAATGGATATGCTATTGCCATCCACCCATGTCCAGATTTAATCTTAGACAGTCATATGTCTCTTATGCAGACAACAAAAACTGTATTGTTTTATGCTTATTGAGAGCTGTTATGGCAGAAATACAGAAAGTGAGGTATTCCTTGAATTCAAACTTGGAGTCAGAGATTCAATTTTAGTTCTTACCAGCTAAGTTCTTATATTTTGCCCACATGTATCACTGAGCAGAGGGAGTCAAACGTACGCTGCATGAGATAATTTCAGGAGCTGATGATACATTTTATGGATTTAAGTTTCCATAACCCTTGATAGACATTTAGGTGTTGTTTTTAATTCGAAGTTTTTGTTGTATGTGTGTTATTTGTATGAAATTTTTGTCCTCTGTAACTCTGAGTATCCATGATGTCCAGCATTACTTTCTGTTTTGTTTTCTTTTTAGCATCCTTTATTTTTTCACTTTCTTTCTTTCAATGAAGTTTTATTTTTGAGAGGTCTAAGGCACTTGCCTTATGAAACTATCTTCTGAAAGCACACTAAAAGAAAATTACTTAAAAGTGTATTCCAAAACAAAATTAGAGGCTGGGCACGGTGGCTCATGCCTGTAATCCCAGACTTTGGGAGACCGAGGTGGGTGGATCACGAGGTCGAGATTGAGACCATCCTGGCCAACATGGTGAAACCCCATCTCTACTAAAAATACAAAAACAATTAGCCTGTAATCCCAGCTACTTTGGAGGCTGAGGCGGGAGAATGGCTTGAACCCAGGAGGTGGAGGTTGCAGTGAGCCGAGATCACGCCACTGCACTCCAGCCCAGCAACAGAGTGAGACTCCGTCTGGAAAAACAAAAAATAGAAAAGAAATCAGGTTGTTAAGCAACTGAACTTTAGGTAATTTAAGCAACTGCTTATAAATTTTCAAATTATCCTATAATATGTAATAAGATAAATTCACATATTTAAGGCCAGCACTTCCTCTTAGTCTTTGCTCACATCCTTAAAATAAGAATAAATTGATTTTTTGATAAAGTAGTTGTAATCATTTTATAAGCTGAAATGAAATGTTCTCGTTTGCTGCCATGAGTATTTCAGGTTGGTTTCCCATTATTTGAGTCATTATTTTTGCTTGGGAGATTTCTTTATAAAGATAAATATATACAAAGTATTATAAGAAGGCTCCTTTGGAATATGCAATTAGAAAGTTACAGGGTATCATAGCTGGGATGGTCTTAGAATTCATCTTCTAACTCTTATTTCAAATATGATTTGCCCTAAATGGCACAGCATAATATGCAATAGGGCAAAGACTAGAACAGTCTTTTTTTTGAAATTCTTCCTCCTAGAATAGTAATAATAGTGATAAATCTTTTATTGTGTAGTTTATAAGTGTGTGTGTATGTGTGTGTGTGTGCTTCTGCATTTATAATCCTCACACCTCTGTTGGATTAGGCTGAACAGATAAGACCTGTATCTTATAAACCAAGAAACCAAGGCTCAAGGTTAAGAGCATAGTTTGAACTTGAATCTTCAATCTGCATGCAGTTCTGCACTGCCTTTGTGTGTTAGTCTTCTTTTAAGGAACGTTAGGATGGACCTATCTGGAATTGTCATGAGTCAAAAATGCAAACTAAAAATCTGGAAGCAATTGAATTAAAAAGGTACAACTGATTTTAGAAAAGGCAAAAGCAGGAAGTTGCCAATAGTTTCATTTGAAGAGAAATTATGTCAAAATCACTAACTCAGTACATAGAATCACCCTAGAAAATTGTACTGGATCAAGAAAGAAGGGAAAATTATGGAAAATTTTAAATATATCCCAGGAAAGAAGAATGAATTAATAAGAGCACATATGCTAATGTATTGGACATATGCTTTTGCAACTAAAAGTTGCTATTCACCTTTCTTTCGGGGAGGGAATGCCAGGATAATTTTCTTCTAGATAAATCACGACCCGCACTCTTAGCCTCTGTGCTGCAAGTTGGGCTCAATTTCCACTCAAGAGTGGACCATGTGCCTGGTCTAAACTTATCACAATATCTTGTTTTCCTGACATTATGCTTGATTCAAGGATGACCTTAAGGCCCAATCAGAATCAAAGACAAAATGAGACTTTTGTTTTGTTTGTTTTGTTTTGTTTTGAGACAGAGTCTCACTGTTGCCCAGGTTGGAGTGCAGTGGCGCGATCTCGGCTCACTGCAGCCTCGAACTCACAATGAGACATTTTTAGAGACTTCTGGATAAGAGACTTATTACTGAAAGGAGTTGCTGCTGACATCTTTTGTCTCTGCAGAGAAGGCCAGACTGGGAATGTTGCAATTTCAGGTTAAGAGATATGGAGCAAGAGAAACCTCGCCACAGGGACCCAGTTTTACTCCCTGAATTAAGCCATAGCTGAAGCCATCTCTACTGCAGTATTTATAAATTACACAGACAAATTATTTTTTGCTTAGGAAAGTTATCTGGTCACTTGGAAATGAAAGATTTATCACATCACATAGCTTAGAAAGACTATGGATGCCTGGAAGACCTGGACCAACACTGAGTTGGGATGCGCACACCAGCTAGAGCAGCACTGTTATTGACGTTGTTGTCATCATCATTCTAGCTAAGGTTGCCTTTTAAGTGACATGAGGAATATCTGTTTTAATTATCTCAGCAATTCTGAGGCTATGACTATCCCCATTTTTCAGATGAGGACACTAAGCCCTGCCTTTTAACCACTGTGGTATTCACACTAGAACCAGGTTTCCAAGATTAGCTATCAGTAGTCTTTTGAATCACATTCAGGGTTTTTTAAATACTCCAGATTTTTCCTTCAAGTATCTGTTCAATGTGTTCAGTTCTGAAGCTGTTATCAATTCAACCACTGATCTGCTCTTCTTTCCCCTCTCCAGCTGAAAAGAATCTCTCTCTGTCCTCTAGGCTCATTTAGCAATTTAGCCATCAATTATAACTTACATACAGATTTAGATATAAATATAGACAGATAAATACATAAATAAATATATAGTTATACACACACAAACATCTCTTTCTATCTATATATCTTATCTATCTATCTATCTATCTAAATTTGTAGTTTCTCATATGTTTTAAGAGTGAGTCTTGGTACCAGAAAACATGGATTGGCATCACTGCTTCATAAAGGCTTGTTGTATGGCCTTAGGCAAACTATTTAAACTATCTCATCAGAAATATGCTCAAAATAATACCCAAGCCATGATATTGCTGGGAAGATTAGATAGTTTGAGAAAGAACTTTACAACCTGCAAAATTCTGTATAAGAGATTATTATATTTATTTTTACTCCCCATAGCACTGAAGCTCTAGATGTAGTTGGAGCTCAATAAATATTTGTGGAATGGGATTCAATTCAGGGGTGAGTGACAGCCTATATAAGTAAGAAAAGAGATAAGAATCTCTTGTTGGCTTTGATGGCATCCCACCTTCCCATCTATACATGTCACTTTTTCTTTTTTGCCTCTTTCTTACTACTGTTTACCCTTCATGCTCTATGTTATATACCTCTGATTTCTTCACCCCTTCATTTTTTTTAGCAAACTCCAGGAACATGTCAGAGACATGCTGGTGACTTTCTAGACTAACAGGCTAGTGATTCTGAGTTAAACTTTGCAAATTATTTATTCACAATCACAATATGCTCAAACTGTCTTTGGAAGTTGCACTAACAACTTTCTGATTGACAGGGTAGGTGCCTTTGCCAAGTACTCCTATGGCCAGAAATTAATCACCAGACTTAGGGTGATGAACTAACTATTGGTGGTCATGAATGCAGTTAACATACGCTAGAAAACAATAACATGCACTAGAAACCAAGGGACTTCATTCCATTATCTTCTACCGTATGCAACTTTTTATGATTCCTTTTTTAGTCCATCAGGATAATGCACTGTAAATCATCTGCTAGACAAGGCATCTACAAAGCTCTATTAATTCATCATAAATACACACATGTGATTGTGCACATAGTATGGTTATCATTTCTGAACTCTAAATATATTAAGTTTAACTGATATTCTTCAGCCCAATTGCCCCCATGCACAAATTTGCACAGTCTTCCAAAGGTAGCTAATTAATGAAGGACATTTTTAATATTTGCTGAGTATTGCTATTTATGTGTTATTAGAAAATGCACCCCTACCTCTGATTTCCCCTTTAATAGGAAGATGGCTTTCAGTTTGGCACGCACAATTTCTCTCATGCTGATGTAAAAAGTAGTTGAATTATGAGGCTTAATGGCATTTAGCATCTTTAATCTCCCTACTCACAGTTCTGCTGGTTATTTAGCCAGGGGAGTTCTTGTGGAAATACGCAGCATCTTGGTTTATAGTAGCAAACCAATAAGCAAATGTACCTGTATTTGAAGTGACAATGCCATTGAAGTTTTGGTCACCAGCTCTAAAGCTTCAAATCAGAGAAAAGGGCTTGTGCTTGGAATAGTGCCTCTTTACATTTTTACTTTCTTATTCTCCATCACTTTGTGGGAACTAGATAAAAGATGACTAGGGACAGGGCCATTACTTTCTTTGATGGCTTCAATATATCAGAAGGGGGCAGCCTTTCGTGTAAAGTTCCTCAAATGGGAATACTCTCTTTTATAGCTAGCCACCAGCTGTGAAATTGAGACTAGTCAGGAAATCAGTGAAGAAGAGGAAAATTTAGGCATGGCCCTGGGAAAAGAGGGAAGAGAAGAAAATGACAACTTTTTTTTCTGGTGTCTTTGACAGTTTAATAACATCTCTTTCATGGTGGAACACATGAGCTATCTGTGCCATGGCTCCAGGAAATATAGTCAAGTCCAACATACGTGTTTCTGAACACTAGCTTTGAGAATATAATCAACACGGCAAAAATTATAGAGTATCTGAGAGACAGAAAATTCAAATAGGGACCTCTTTCTATATTGGCTCTCTACAATATCATTAAAAAAATGGTCCTGAAGCAATCTCTTTGATAAATCAACAACTATAATATCTGATATTTTGGTAAGCTGTATGAGGATACAATTTTTTGATCTGTTTCGTTCTCTTTTGCCACTTCAGTGCCTACAAAAGCTAGCGTAAGATAGGTACTCTGTAAATATTTATTGATCAATGTGCAATAAAAACACTGGAGAGAAGTATTTCATTTCAACTCCTTCCTTCTGAAGAGCACAAAGGCTTTGGAGTAAAATACCCAGAAATAAATCTGCCTTTTTAAAATCAAGAATTCTTTGAGAAGTTGTCACAAAATATCAGAAATTAACTGAAATGAATTTAACTGAAATGCATTTTTATTTTTACTTTTATACTTTTCTAGTAAAATGTAAAGAGTTATACAAATTTAGAAGAATATATCTCTTTCTATTTATCTATATCTATTTTTATATCCATCCTTTTCAAATGATAAATTGCATTATGACCTATTACTAAATATTCCCTGAATAATTAGCTTTTCTTGGCAAAGTTTATTGCTGTTCGGTTTGGTTTAACGTGTATATTTCACTTTATACTTTGAATGATAATTTAGAATCATAGCCATAAGTCACAAAGTTTAAAGAAAAGTGAAAAATAAACTGAATAAGAGTTAACAGTAATTCTGGTTGTTACAGATCTTCTCAGGTTTAACAACGTAAAATATGACTTAGGTTAGGAAAGGTTTGGAAAAAATGTTTTTAATTTGACAAGGGCCTCTAAATATAACTCACTTTATATAGCAATGTCCCATTTCCATAACCTTAATTGCTTTCTCTTTCTTCCTTTTCTTTCACTCCCTCTCATCTCCGCATTATTCTCTTTATGTATTTTGCATTCAAAGCCACCTACTTTCGAAACTTACTGCCTAGAAGCAGATAGTGAATGTTTCAGAATTTGTGTTTCTTGAAACAGCATTTTTTTCATAGCTGAATTATAATAACTGGAGAAATCTGAGGATCTGAAGGTTGCAGTAATTTAGTAAAAGAGATCTGGAATCATTTTCCCAGTGAAAATACCAGCTGTACTATGAGGGCTGATTTTTCTTCTTTGATGAATTCTACACTGTGAAAGATACATAAGGTGAGTGGGATACCAGGAAAGGACAAGGAAGAAGGAACGTGGCTTCTAGCCCAGCACTTTGGTCTCATTTCCATTTATGAGGACAGAGATTTGTCAGCACATCAGCCTATCTTGGGAAGACTGCTCATTGGACGAATGTTTAGATACAGTAAGAACATTAGATCCAACATTATATGTGAAGATATTGATTTGATTTAAAAAGGAGAAAGAGAAAGAGAGAGAGAGAGAGATGGAGAGACAGAGAGACAGGACCAAGCTGATTGAAGCAAAGCCAACTGGCTGTTAGTTTGCAGGGACTCTCAGTAAGCTCTTTGCAAAAGGTAGCATAGTGCAGTGGTTTAGACTAACGCACAGATATACCTCTGTCGATGGACAACTTTGGTTCAAATCCCAGTTTCTCTCTTTACTAGTATTATAACCCTGGGCAAGTTATTTGCTCAAGAGATACATCTGCCTCAGCCTCCTGAGGAGCTGGGACTACAGGCACACATGCACCACCATGCCCAGATAATTTTTTTTTTTTTTGGAGAGACATGGTCTCGCTTTGTTGCCGAGACTGGTCTCGAGCTCCTGGCTTCAAGCAATCCTCCCACCTCAGCTTTCCAAAGTGTTAGGATTACCGAGACGAGCCACTGCACCCAGCCTAAACCACTACTTTAGGCAGTAATCTACCTCACTTAATCACCCAATGCTATGGCATAAACCTTGGGCATATGGCTCTAGTCACATTCCTTTAGGAATATTCTCAGTTGCACTTAGTACCAGAACACAATAATTACTAAACATTTAGAACTTCATTGGAGAGTAGGTACATGTCTTTTCCAGAGAATGTCTCGAGTAGCTAACATATCACTAAGACGGTATTTTTTACAAAGCACACGCTCACTGGGAAGGTGTTCACTTTATTCTCGAATGCTTAAAGAATGCATTGAAATTCAGCTTTATAAATGTGCCTCAACTATGGGCTTCCTGGTAACCAACATGGAAACCAAACTTGCCAAATGAGGAGTGTTTTCTTTGGGAAGACAGTCGAATGAGGAGTCAAAACTGTGGATGTGTTAAAGCATGTTACATCATACATGTAGCCATGCCCAAAAGCTAAGCACTACATAGCCAGACAGAAAACATTTTTTCCTTCACTTTCAGATATAAATTATCACCTGTAACATTTCTGTAGAAAAAGAGAACTCACATACATAAGACAGATTTAGGAGCAAGTTGAAATAGTCAAAGGAAGCTTCTGTTCATAGCAGTAAAAATAATGAACAATTATACAAGTTAAACTTTTGTTTATCTTTCCACTGGAATGGCTAATAGTTTCTTAGTTTAAAGGAAATCTTTAGATTGGTTTCCAGTCAGGAAAAGGTTGACCAAAGGTAAGCCCCTGATGTGAAATGTTAGACAAATTAATGTGAGCACTTCAGAATTCTTTCTTTG
This sequence comes from Homo sapiens, assembly GCF_000001405.40. NCBI lineage: Eukaryota > Metazoa > Chordata > Mammalia > Primates > Hominidae > Homo > Homo sapiens. Next base: position 52,585,633 of record NC_000018.10, read on the forward strand.
GTGGACATGTATGTCAAAGTTGAAGGTAGTTCTTTCATTCTCCCTCACCCAATAATTAAAGTCAAAAATAGATATGAAAGCAAACCTAATCATACAATTCCCTAAGTATTCTACTCTTCTTCAGAATTTACCAGCATTAGGGTGGTTAAATTAGAATACCAACACTGTCGGCCGGGCGCGGTGGCTCACGCCTGTAATCCCAGCACTTTGGGAGGCCAAGGTGAGTGGATCACGAGGTTAGGTGATCAAGACCATCTTGGCTAACACGGTGAAACCCCGTCTCTACTAAAAATACAAAAAATTAGCTGGGAGTCTTGGCGGGCCCCTGTAGTCCCAGCTACTCGGGAGGCTGAGGCAGGAGAATGGCGTGAACCCAGGAGGCGGAGCTTGCAGTGAGCCGAAATTGTGCCACTGCACTCCAGCCTGGGCGACAGAGCAAGACTCCGTCTCAAAAAAAAAAAAAAAAAAAAAAAAAACAAAAACACTGTCACACCTAGCAGTCATACACATGGTAGATCAATAAATTCTTATTGAATCAAATCTGAATAATCCAACATTAACAATAATAATGTTTAACAAATTCAGTCATTTTCTTCCAATTTTCACTGATAGTCTTGATTGTAATGTTTTCATTTTGATATTAAAAATATCCTAGTTTTATTATGATTTATATTTCTATTCTCAGTAGAGGATGACAATAGGCTTAAATTTCATATAGTTGCCCCTGTATTCCATGCATGTTCTTCCTTACCTCCCTTGTAGAGTAGTAGACTGATTTCATCTTGACAGTCCAGGGCAATCACCCCACCCAACACTGCAACTCCCTTCTTAGCCTGTTGATTTAAAGGTAGGAGGAGCCCAAAGTGTCCAGGTGGCAATCTTAACTTCCAGTTTAATGGCATCATTGTTGTGTCTCCTGGTGGCAGCATTCCTTCCTCTGGAACTAAGATCTCTAGGCCAGCAGAAGGTAATGTTGCAGGAACAGGAAGCAAAACGTTTGCTAATGGATCACTAGGGGTGACGGTGAGTGGTGCCACTTCTACTTCCACTCCTTGATTCCTCGACCCTGAATTCTGGCTATGGGAGAAACAGGACCATATATAGGATGCTGATTCAGAGCATACATGGCCTTCTGGAGAACTTTGTCCCAGCTCTGCAGAGTATTGTCACATAGTTGGCATTGTAATTGTGACTTCAAAAGGCCATTCCAAAATTCTATCAGTCCAGCTCCTTCAGGATGATGGGAAACATGGTAAGATCAGTGAATTCCATGAGCATGAGCCCACTGCTACACTTCTTTAGCCATAAAGTGAGTGCCTTGGTCAGAGGCAATGCTGTATGGAATACCATGACAGTGGGTAAGGCATTCCTTGAGTTCACAAATGGTAGTCTTGGCAGAAGCACTGGGTGCAGGATAATCAAACCCATAGCCGTAGTAAGTGTGTATTCCAGTGAGGACAAACCTCTGCCCTTTCCATGATGAAAGATGTCCAATATAATCAACTTAACACCAGGTAGCTGGCTGATCACCCTGAGGAATGGTGCTATATCGCGGGCTCAGTGTTGGTCTCTGCTGCTGGCAAACTGGGCACTCAGCAGTGGCCATAGCCAGGTCAGCCTTGGTGAGTGGAAGTCTATGTTGCTGAGCCCATGTGTAACCTCCATCCCTACTACCATGGCCACTTTGTTCATAGACCCATTGGGCGATGACAAGGGTGGCTGGGGAAAGAGGCTGAGTGTTGTCCACAGAACGGGTCATCCTATCCACTTGATTATTAAAATCCTCCTCTGCTAAGGTTGCCCGTTGGTGAGCACTCATGTGGGATACAAATATCTTCATGGTTTTTGACCACTCAGAGAAGTCCATCCACAAACCTCTTCCCCAAATTTCTTTGTCACCAATTTTCCAATCATGTTTCTTCCAAGTCCCTGACTATCCAGCCAAGCCATTGGCTACAGCCCACAAATCACTATATAATCACACATCTGGCCATTTCTTCTTCCATGCAAAGTGCACAACCAGGTGCACTGCTCAAAGTTCTGCCCATTGGGAAGATTTACCTTCACCACTTTCCTTCAGGAATGTCCTAGAAAGGGGCTGTAGTGCTGCAGCTGTCCACTTTTGGGTGGTGCCTGTGTGTCGTGCAGAACCATCTGTGAACCAGGCCCTAGTCTTCTCTTTCTCTGTCAACTGATCATGGGGAACTCCCCATGAGGCCATTGGTACAGGCTGGGGATGAGAAGGTAGGGTGGCAGGAGTGGAAACCATGGGCATTTAAGCCACTTCCTTATGTACCTTACTTGTGTCTTCAGGAACTGCTCGAACCCGATTATGTATATACTACATCCATTTGTGATGGAATGCTGCTGTGCATGACCCACTTTATGGCTAGATGGGTCAGAAAGCACCCAGTTCATGACAGGCAGTTCAGGTTGCATGGTGACTTGGTGACCCATAGTCAAACGTTCAGTTTCCACCAAAGTCCAGTAACAGGCCAAGAGCTGTCTCTTAAACAGAGAGTAGTTATCTGCAGAAGATGGAAGGTCCTTGCTTCAAAATCCTAGAGGCCTCCTCTGTGATTCACCTATAGGGTCCTGCCAAAGGCTCCAAACAGAATTCCTACTACCACTGACACCTCAAGCATCATTGGATCTGCTGGTTCCTATGGCCCAAGTGGCAGAGCAGGTTGCACAGCAGCCTGCACCTGTTGCAAAGCCTTCTCCTGTTCTGGACCCCACTCAAAACTGGCAGCCTTTCAGGTCACTTGATAAATGGACTGGAGTAACACAAATGCTATTCCCTGACTACAGGATGGTAGACTGTGATAGATATTGGGCTTACACTAGAGAACAAAAAATCAAAATGCTGCCTACTCTCACATTTCTTATAGACTAGTCAGGAAGACAAGGCTTAAATAATTACATGAATGAACACATAATTAGTGCTAATTGCTGGAAAGAAAGGTACATATGAGAAGGGAACCAAACTTTTCTGAGGGTCAAGGAAATATTCTTGTTTAAGCTGAGACTTCAAGGACAGTTTTGGGGGAGAAAAGATGCCCATAAAGAGGGAGCAGACAGAAGGAATATGCCTGTATAAAGACCCAGTGGAAGCAGGAACAGGTGAAAGAAGACTAGAACACAAGTCTTAGACCATTTCCTGACTGAGTTTTCATCTTAAAAGCAGTGAGAAGCCATTAAAGAGCTTTATACCAATGATATGCCAACAGCATCTTTTTTTTTTTTACTGGTTTGACTAATCAGAGACTCAAGTTTTTTAGTTATTTATTGCTTACGTAATTCCAGGCAATATACAATATTTGCCTCATCTTTATGGTAATTTAACCCAGTAATACAACAATTTGTATACTGCATTTGTATTTTGAATTTGTACTTTGAAAAGTGCATGCCCATAGAAGGAACAGGACATGTCTCATTGGGTTTTAGTTCAAATGATCTAGCTTTAAAATATGTTGAAAATAATGTGACTGATGAATCATATGTGGTCTGAGCTTCAAATACTTTTTTAGCAAATTGCAGAAGGGCTATTAGGATCTGGGGGGTCAGTGAGACAGCTTGACAAAAGCAAATGTCTTGCAAATATATGTAGAATGATACTTCAGAGAAAATATAGTCTACAGATACTTTTTATTTGATTCTGCTAAGCAAAAAAGAAATTCCAGAAATGAAATGGTCACAGAAACTTATTTCTACTTTTACAAAATGAATGTAGTGTTCTATGACACAAATAACCTAAGTATATCCAAGAGTGTCAACCTTCTAAGCTTTTGGGTTTGTTGAATTTCCCTGAAGGCTTTGGATATTATCAGGGTAGATAATCCATATGCAATATTTGAATGTGTTCTCAAGCTGTGTATGCATAGTCCTCATTTATTTCTTGTCAATCTGCAAAGCAGAGAGGGAAGAGCCAGCCTGGTGTTTAGTGATGCCTCTTCCATGGGTTTTTGTACAATCCTCTTCTCTGTTCTGTCTAATAAAATGTAGCTAACATTTTACTTATTCTTAAAGACAGCTCAGAAATAAAAGAACCATATAAGCCTTTTTCTGTTTATAGTGCCAATCAATTAGAGCCTTCAAGCAATTATTGACTAATTAATAGCTGTCTTAGGGAAAACAGAGAACTTAGAAGGGACTTATATGTGGAATTAAAGCAAGTTGACTCGCACAATTATATTGCTGGTAGAGCCAACATAGATAAGTTCTGAGATATTGCACAGTTTGTATAAATTATTTGAGAAAGGCTTATAAGGAGGAAAGAGAGATTCACTGCTGAATTTTTTGTTGATGATCTATTGATTTGATTTCAAGTTTACATTTTTGCATTTCATGGTAAAAATCTATGCTTTTTTTTAAAAAAAGATATACTTTCCATAATAAAATAGCATAGTGCTCTGAGAACATTTTAAAGCCCATGCTTTATTAAAGAAAAGTGAAATGTGGAATTTTGATCTAGGTTCTGTTTATTTTTGTACATAATTATCCACTGGTGTGCCTTGGTATAAATGGTGTGTGTGTGTGTGTGTGTGTGTATGCAATTATTTTAAATTTGGATTAAAAACTAAATTTGGTGCAATTTTTTTCAAGCTGTATGTTAACATTATCATACAGAATGAGATCTAAGGACATCCAATGCATTAGCCTAACCAAAGCCAATGCTATGCAATGTCGATGTCTACAATTCTTTTTAAAATTAGCAAATTACCAGATGTTTTTGGCTACTGAATATACGCTCAGCCAAAAGATAGACACATTAGGGAGTAAAAAAAGTATAAAAAACATTTTTCTGCCTCAAGAAGTTGTCAGTCTACATGAATAAATAATATTTTTTCCATGCTGATCGTAATTTGACACTTTAGGAGCCTCTCTGGTGTTGGCACAGATCTGTTTGTTTCAGAAGCACTGGTTTGTCTCTGTACACAGGGTGCAAGCGCTGAGAGTGCGAAGATGAGGTCTTGCAGTTGTGATTCTTGGCACATTTAAGAAATAGTGCAGTGTGGGTACTGGTCCGTCAGAATGGATGTTGTCATCAACCATCCATGTGGTCATACCAGTGGCCCGATTCCCAGTGCCCCCATGGTAACACTGATTTCTGTGCTTAGCACAAAGTACTTGATAAATACTTGTGCTTAATTAAGTTCTACAAAGTAAGATACACAGATAAGTCTTTACCATCTCTGGGTGACCAAAAAGGAGTTTATAATCTGTATGTTGCTTTTCTTTTTCCTAGTTAAAAGACCATTAAGCTATTAGAGTAATGGATTACACACTGTCGATTACAAGTAGATGAATGTCTTCACATACATTTTTCCTTTAAAAATCAATACTGAATGCAATTCAGCCAACATTAAAAATATCCTGCAGTTATATTATCAAAAACATTGAAGTTTTAACCACACTGCCAAATAAAAATTTTATCTTTTTATTTATGGAAAATGTCTACCATTGCTTAGAATTTGATGCATTAAAAAGCATTGATTCTATCAGGAAGGAAAACCTGCTATGACCTGAGAGGGCTAATCCAATATAGGAAAATTCTTCTGGACTTTGAGATTTTCATAATTTTTTAAAATTCTTTTTAGCATTCTTTTAAAAAGCATGCTAATTATGGAAAATAAAATAAGTAATCTTTACTACAATTAAAAATAATTTTTATTATAACAAAAATTTCCTCAATTTAAAACATACAATTAAAATTAAATTAAACAATGTCATTTTGCAAACTGCTTTTTTTTCACTTAAAACATTATTAACATTGTTCCCAAAACATAATTCTTATGGGTTGCATGAAAGTCAATTATAACATATATTTCTAAACTTTCCACTTTTAAGTGTGAGGTCATTGTTTATGCCCTCCTGCTTGTATGACCAGTTATTCCTTAATATAAGTTCATGAAAATGCAATGGCTTGGTCAAAATTATATCTTTAAGGTCTTCAGTGCACATTGCCAAATTACACTGTTCAAATTATTATTATTACGTTTTGAGACAGGATGATCACAGCTCACTGCAACCTCGATCTCCTGGGCTCCAGCGATCCTCTTGCCTCAGCCTTCTGAGTAGCTGGAACTACAGGCACTCATCACCATGCCTGGCTACTTTTTTTCTTTTTTTGTTTTTCTTTCTTTATTTATTTCTTTTTTTTTTTTTTTTCGGTAGTAACGGAATCTCACTATCTTATCCAGATTGGTCTCAAACTTCTGGCCTCAAGCAGTAGGCTTCCAAAGCTCTAGGATTACATGCCCCACCATGGCCTTCCAAAGGTCCAGGATTACCGGTGTAAGCTTCCGTGCCCAGCCTCCTTTCAAATTCTTAAGCATCTCATAGGCAGTTCTGTAGTCACTGGATGAATTGGTAATAGTCTTATATTACTTGGAGAAAAAGAAATGGAAGTACCTTTTCATCTTCTAGTTGAATTTAAAAGTAAACATGCTTTAGTCTTTTATTTTTCTGTTTTTACTTTTGCCATTATTTTAAACTACAGCGACAAAAGTAAAGAGTTTGTGATAAGTCAAGAATTGAGCTCCCAATATTTTCAACTCTCTTTCCAGTTCACATCTGGAATTGTAACAATAATCACTAAAAATAGCCAGATCAACACTTCTCTAGGGCACTGCAGAAGAAACTTTTTGCAGAGGAAAGAAAGGAGCATTTCAGAAGTCTCAGAATTTGATTAATATAATTATTCAGCTATTTCCTTTTCTTTTCTTCAAGATCCTTGGTCAAAACTGGCTCAAAGAGGACAGAAATATGTATCACCCAGGTGAGCCATGCAGTAACTAGTGTGATAGAAGTCAAATGCTGCTAGTTAGGTTGTTGGCGGAATTCACTTTACAAAGGCTCACTCTAATAACTCCTTTCTCCCGGCAAAACTGGAGAAATATTGACTTTGTCGGTGACTTGAGCAGAATAGCCAAAGGAACTAGGTGATATGCAGAATTAAACCTCTTTGGGTTTTCTGGTAGAAATAAGGAAATGAAATAAGGATATGGAAATAGGAAAGAGGGCTTTCTTGCTCTGTTGCCCAGGCTGGAGTGCAGTGGCACGATCTCAACTCATTGTAACGTCCGCCTCCTGGATTCAAGCTATTCTCGTGCCTCAGACTCCCGAATAGCTGGGATTACAGGCGTGTGCTTCCACGCCCATCTAATTGTGCGTGTGTGTGTGTATTTTTAGTAGACATGGGGTTTTGCTATGTTGGCCAGGCTAGTCTCAAACTCCTGGCTTCAAGTGATCCTCCCAACTTGGCCTCCCGAAGTGCTAGGATTACAGGCATGAGCCACCACACCCAGCCAAGATATTAAAGGTCAATTTTACTTCCACTATCAAGGCTCGATTTACTCATGGTGCAGGAAAGTTTTTGTCATATCTAGGATTGGCCCTTTACCATGCTCCTCAGGTAGTAGGTACCAACAAACAGGCTTATTCAATAGATTCATGGCTGGGTCTAAGACTAAGTTGTATGTATTTACATCATCTTCTGGGATTTTTTTTCTCTCCCTGCAGTGTGTTATCCAAAACATTTTTGAAGCTGAAAAGTTGGCTAAGCTTCTTCTCTGAACCATTTTCCAACTTACAGGGTTTTTCAGAAGCCAATGTCCTGCCAGTTTTCTAAAGGTCTAAGTCAGAACGTGGTAAACTACACAAATTGATTATTCACGTGGTGTGATCTGCATCCTCCCACTACGTAAAACTCCCTCAGCAGCAGGATCCCACTAGTATCCAAAATACATATCATTCATGTCAAGACTTTGGGTTGAAGTCTTTTTGTCAAGAAATTCTCTTTTAAAATGGAAATGGGAAGAAACAATTAACAGTTCATTTATCTATTGTCTGTGACCTGCTCATATTTTTATTTTTTGGTGCTTTCTGCTTTCCTTTATTTTTTAAAACCGTGATTAAATATTACTTTCATGGTTTTTAAAATTTAATATTTACATGTATAACCTAACATCAATGCATTAATCTTAACACAAACTTTAATCACTTATGATAAGTTTCATCAGCCTCACGACAATCGATATTTGGTGCTGGACAATGCTCTGTCATGTGTGGGAAAGGGGAAGGAGAGGGTTCTCTGTGCGTTGTAGAGCTCTATCTGCTAGATAAGAGCAACAGCGCTCCTTTCCCATTTTGACAGCTGAACATGCATCTAGACATTGGCAATTGTCCCCTGAGGGGCAAAATCACCCCTCTCAGGTTGAAACCACTTATCTATAGGTAGTAAGGCACTGATTCATTCCTCCAATCTGGATTGAGCTCCTGAGGGATATAAACACACAGAAGTTCCTGCTTCCAGGTAATGCAATTCCAGTGGATGTAAAAACCTCAGAAAGTCAGAGACCTACAAGGCCATGTGTTTCAATATAAGAGGGCAAAATAGGGAGTAGGCAGCTGGCTGGAAGGAGAACCCAAAGGGGCATTCTTTCTTCTATTCTTTTACTCGGGATTTGCCTCTTCAGAGAAAAGGCTATAATAAGTCATAGCTCTAGGAAAAAATCTAAGGAAAAGGGCACCCCCCTGGATGGATATTTGGTAGAAACTTGTGCCTTCTGGGTGCTTTAGATTAAGAACTGATCCACATATAGCTGGCTCTTTAAAATTCTTAGAATGTTCTAGATTTATTCCATCATTAGTATTATTCAGATCATCACCATAAGCTGCAATTTATAATTCTTGTCTCACATTGTTTAGGCTATTTTTCCAAGCCCAGTATCCCTGAGTCCTCCTCTTAGTTTTGGCTATTGATGCCTCTCCCCTTCATGTCTGGGTGTATATTAGTGACCTGCTGACTTTGGCCTTATACTGCCTATTGGAGAGGAGACAGGAACTGAAACCTCATTGTTCCATTTTTTGTTACTGCCTTCATCTTACCTTGACTTGATTCTTCAACAACCTATATTACATGTGTTTGGTCATTCTTGTGTTGCTATAATAAATACCAGAGACTGGATAATTTATAAGAAAAGAGGTTTAATTGGCTCACAGCTCTACAGGCTGTACAGGAAGTATGGTGCTGGCATCTGGTTCTGGGGAGGCCTCAGGAAGCTTTTACTCATGGCAGAAGATGAAGTGGGAGCAGGCACATCACATGGCAAAAACAGGAGCAAGAGAGCGTAGCAAGGGAGATGCAACACGCTTCACCAGATCTTGTGAGTACTCACTCACTGTTGCAAGGACAGCACCAAGCCATGAGAGATCTGCCCCCATACCCAAAGCACCTTCCACCAGGCCCACCTCCAACATTGAGGATTACATTTCAACATGAGATTTGGGCAGTGACAAATATTCAAACTGTATCACTACACTAGGTAGTAATGGAGGTCTTCTATTTGTTTGACATTTTTCTTTTGTTAAGACTACCTGAAGGATCAAGGGAGAGAAGTTTTCTACTGTAAAGACTTTAGCTATGGAATGTATCACTTCCCTCTCCAATTCTCATACTGGATCATCCTGCCAATGCCTTGTACATCACAAAAAAGTTATGGTCCTTCTCCTGGAAGGATGAGCAAATTAAAGCACAAAAACTTACAGGCATATTACTCAGATGTTATCGACTAACAAGTCTTTGCTAAAAAGATCAATCATATCTTTCCAGGCCTTTTTTTATTCCATCCCCAAAGAAGGCTGACACCTCCCATCATTTCCTGACATTTCTGATGTTCTCTGGAAATAAATAGTCCATTAGTCTTTGCGTGAAAGAACTTTGCCTTGTCTTTAGGTGGGTAACACTCTGTTCCTCATTATAATAGTTTTCCTGGGATCTATATTAACAGCATCAAACCAAATTATTTTCTCTATTCCAGATATTAAATTTCCTTTTTAAACTGAACTTGCTCATTATAGACACATTTATTATGCCTACTGCTCTAAGAAATACATTCTTCCCTCATTCAAATCCGCACCCTCATTTTAAACATGCCATTCTCTCCACTTACTACCCCTGTGTAACCCTTCACTTGGGGATTTAGCTTCCCTCAAATGAAAGTCCTCAGTCCATTCCGCTATCATCGCTCAATGGGGTTTTCTTATAGTGTTTGCATTTTAACCAGCTACAATCACATTTCATTGATTCTATCTCAGCTGGTATATTATTTTTGTCAATCCACACATTTGTGAAGCCATAGATTTCTGGGGTAGATCTCTGAAAGCACTGAACTTTACATACATGTAAATCTGCAAGCAAGAGCAAGAGAGGACCTAGGACCCAGGTGGCAGATGCCAGACCAAAACTTCTGAGTTACAGAGCTCCACCATGAGAAATCTCAGCCAAGACATGGTTTTTTCCTTTAATTCTTCTTTCAGATGCTTCTCTTAAGGACAACATATTTAATACTAGCATTTGTATCCATATTCAGGCACTTTAAAAAGGTTACAACCTGTACAGACTACAGCTTTTATGGAATGGTATGTTTTACAACTATTGGCTCCTAATTTAGATTACTCAGCACTTACAATCTTTATGGAATAGATCTGGAAGGTACCAGTCTCTTGTTCACTTCATTTATTTATAGTGTTCACCTAATAGCGACCTCCTTTCAGGGCAGCCTTCTACCTATAAGAATTTCCAAGTAATGGAACTAACATTCTGCTACTGGATTCCAGACACACTCACACGGGAAACACAATTCAAATATAATGTGTTCAACTTAACCAATCTGTGTATTGCTACTTCAAGTGGTGATCTAAATTAGACTAACTCACTGGTGAGTTCAACAGTGGTCTCAGAGCACAGTGAATCTACAGAAATCTTAGAGATCATTTAACCTGATAATTCTCAAAGCGTGATCACTGAACCTCGTGATCATTGAATCAGCATCACTAGGAGCTGGCTAGAAATACAAATTTTAGGGCCCCACCCCACATCTACTAAATCAAGACTTTGGGCTGGGTAATCTGTATTTTAGCAAGCCCACCAGATAATTCTGATACACATCTGAAACCAATGATCTAACTTGTTCTGTTTACAGTTGAGAAACTGAAACCCAGAGTAATAAAATGACCTGCTGAAAGACAGAATAGAACTATTTGGTGACAATATCAGAATGAGAACAAGTCCCAATCCTCTACCATTTCTCCTACACTGTCAATGAGGTTGCTGGCTATACATATGCAGGGTTAAAATCCTGTAAATTTCAACAGCTAGAGCCAAATCCTTCCTACATGGCCTCTTTCTTCCTACATGGCTCAGGTCAGCAATCTTGCCTGGCTTAAGTTTGAATGCCTTGGGCCATTCAGGAGTCTCCGTGTTTGTTTTTTCCCTGAGCTTCGCTTTCCTTGCTTGGATATTTTGTGAGCATCTGACCAGTACATTCAGCCACTTTAAAAGAATCTCCCAGGCCTTCCTTTGCATAGGGGCTTTGTGATTTTTTTTTTCCTGTTTTGTTTCACCATATGTTCCCCTTTTGAATCTGAGTCTCCACAAGCATCAGGAAAGACTCGGTGAAATTCTTTCTATTTTTGCCAGAAAAGTCAAGCTAAATGCAATTCCATCTCCTAAAGTCAATTTGCAGAAGGTGTCTTTGAAACGGCCTATAAAATTGTGAGCAAATGAAGTTTCATCTTGCTGTTAACGAGGTTGCTTTGCCAAACCTGTCAGAACTGGATCTGACCCTTTTGTGTTATAGTGTCTGCTCCAGCTGGGGCTATTGGCTGTTAATCAGAAGTGTTTACACTTTTTCATGCTCACTTGATTTCCACTAGCCTGCCCAACTTGGTATTCAGAGTGGGTTCATTACAAAGAATATTGTTGCAGCCCTGTCCTGACATTTCACTGTCAACTGGCAGCGATGGGTCAATATTGCTTTTGCTACTCCTCACAAAGTAGAAAATATGCGATCACACCAATTAGGTAGTTTAAGCAATTTTTTTCTGTTCAACCTTCCTTTTAGCTGCCAAAACTGGTCTAGAATTTAAGGCGAAGGCAAGGAATTATTAGAGACCAAACCCTTGGCATCGGGTGCCAAAAAGATTAGCCTAGTGAAATACCAACATCTTTAGTAGAACAAAGATCAAAGTCAGGAACCAGAGGAAACTGTGCAGCTCTCCTACAGGCACGTTGGTGAGAAATAGAATAATTGATCTAGTAGAAACAGGTTTCAGGAAGTCAAAGAATATTATTAATGATCTTCAAGCAAGACATTCAACAAAATGCTCTAGATTCTTCTCAATAAGCTCTTCTCTGTTTCATGGTTGCAAGCTCATTTGCAAGGTAGAGAACAGTGAAGATATTCTAGAGTTGGTTTGGTTTCTAAGAGCACTGAATCATTTAAATGTCCTGTTTATTAACTCAGCTCCTCTCTATTTTGTTTTGATTTATTGTTTTTCCTGAATTTTTACATCTGCCCCTAAACAGCCTTGTTAGTTGCATGTTAGGCAGTATAACGTTGGAAAATGTGTACACTTTGGAGTCAGTAAAAATTGGATTCAAATTCTAGCTTGCTTATTTTCATGACCTTGTGTGGCCCTTAAGCAAGATACTATATTGCACTTAGACTATTTATATCTGTAAATTTGGAATAAAAAGGAAAATTGATAACGTTTAGTTTTTATACTTTTAAAAACAATTTACCATTTGCAAAGCATTATACTAAATACCGAGGTTAAGAGAATAAATAAGAGAGACCCTTAGTATGAGAGCTAAGGAAGCAAAGAGAGGGGTTACATATTTTTCATTCAAGACCCCTGATGGGGTTTTCTGATGTAAGTGAGATATTAGCTGAGTCTCAAAAAAGGAATGAGGTAGGTGGGTAAGTATGTTGAGGGAAAGCATTTCTGGCAGAAAATAGTCTAAGAATTGCATGGAGGCCCAAGAATGCATGGAGTCTCAGATGAAAGGAGTGAACGCTTTTCTATAGACAGCAAAGCTATAACTATGGAGCACCAGGATGTATGATGGGAGGTAAACGGTGGCCAGGAATAAGCCTAGAGAGCCAGCTGCAGGCCTCTTGTGCATGTCAAGGAGCTCAGGCTCTATTCTTCTGCGGATCATAGCCCATGTAGCAATTTAAATATGGAATTTGGTAGTCAAATGAAAATTTGCATTTGGATGGTGTCTCAGTCTGTTTTGTGCTGCTATAACAAAATACCTAAGACTAGGTAATTTATGAAGAACAGAAATTTATTTTTTTCATAGTTCTGTAGGCTGGAAGTCCAAGATCAAGGCTCTAGTATGTTTGGATGTCTGGGAGGGCTGTTCTCTGCTTCCAAGATGGCGCCTCAATGCTGCATTTTCCAGAGGGGTGGAATGCCGTGTCCTCCTATGGCAGAAGGGCAAGAGAAACAAACTTCCTCTATCAAGCTCTTTTATAAGGATAGCTAATTTCATTCATGAGGGAGAGGCCCTCATAGCCTCATCACCTCTTAAAGGCTACATCTCTCAACACTGTTGCATTGGGGATTAAGTTACAACATAAATTTTGCAGAGGATGTGAACAGTCAAACCACAGATGGATCAATTAGGTAGCAGGGTGATTAGGGCATTAGAGGAGAGAAATACTGGAGCCAGGGAGACCGTTTTACAGTAATCTATCTGGGAGATAGATTTTGATGCCTTCCTTAAATAAAGACTGTCTTAGAACTGATAGTCATTTTAAGAATGTTGTGAGTGGTATAAATAATACAGCAGTGCAGTTCCATCTAAAAACCAGGGGTCGAAAAACCTTTTCTGTGCAGGGCCATATAGTGTATATTTTGAGCTTTGAGGACATGTGGTCTTTGTCATAACTATTCAACTCTGCCACTGTGGCGTGAAAGCAGTCATAGACAATACAAAGGCAAGTAAATGTGGCTGCGTTCCAATAATCCAAATTTAAATTTCACAGATTTTTCACATGTCAAGTAATATTATTCCTCTTTTGATTTGTTTATAAATATATTATTTTATTTTATTTTATTTTATAAAGCCCAGGCTGGAGTGCAATGGCGCAATCTCTGCTCACTGCAACCTCTGCCTCCTGGGTTCAAGCGATTCTCCTGCCTCAGCCTCCTGAGTAGCTGGGATTACAGGCGCTGCTACCACGCCTGACTAATTTTTGTATTTTTAGTGGAGATGGGGTTTCACCATGTTGGTCAGGCTAGTCTCAAACTCCTGACCTCAGGTGATCCACCTGCCTAGACCTCCCAAAGTGCTGGGATAACAGGTTTGAGCCACCGCGCCCGGCCTGTCTATAAATATTTTAAAAAGCAAAAAAAAATCTTAGCTTGATAACCATATGAGAATAGGCAATGACTGCCTTTGTGTTGCGTGCTGTTATCGCCCCTGTTCTAACCATTGTTCCTTTTTTCCTGTTGTCTCTGGGAACCATGCCATCCCCTTTCTATGGTTCCTAAAGGCCAGTATTTATGTAATGGATAACAGTCATATTCTCAACCTTTTCAAATGAGTTTTGCTTTATTTCTGCCTTGTTTATGAAATCCTTTTCTTTCAAATAGTCATTAAACTATTTTACTATAATTTATTATTTTCCTTGAAGTGTTGAAGTTTTGTTCTTCACATTGAGGCTCTCAGTCGACCTGGAATAGAGTTTTGAATACAGTGTGAACTTTGAATGATTTGCTTCCCCCACACCTACATTGATAACTAGCGTCCCCAGCTCTATTTATTGAAATGACCAGGTTTTCCTCACAATTCCAAAATCATGCTTCTGCATGTGGAAAATCTGCATGTACATGTGAACCTGATTTTGGATGCTTTTTTCCTATTGCATTGGTCATTTGCACTCTTTTGCTAGTACCATGCTGTCTATATTATTGTAGCTTTATTATAAATCTTGATATTTGGGCAAGAAAACACACCTAACTTATTTTTTTTCAAAAAGTTTTTTGCCTTTTTAACATTTTGTTTTTGTGGTATGCATACCAGAATTAGCTCATCAAGTTGCCACTAAAAGCTCATTGGATTTTAATCGAATTGCTTTGACTTAATAGATCGATTTAAGTACACTAAACGTCTTTACCATTGACTCTTTTTATAGATAATCTTTGCATTTATTACTTCATTTCTTTGGATCTTCTTTAATCACTTTCAATAAAGCTTTGTAATTTTCTCCTTAAAAATTTTGCGCATTGTTGTTGTTGGTGTTGTTTTTTAACTAGGCCACTTGTTTTTAGTTTTTCCTTTCCTTGACATTTAGAAAATTACAAAATATAACTGTGTTCATGTTAGGCTTCTGCCACTTACTAACAATAGCTTGAATAACATTTGTGGCTTGTAAAATATTCTTTGAGTTTCAATGTGTTAAAAGTCTCATCCCTAGTGAGTAAATTGGGATTTACTATATAACCCAAAGTTATATAGTGCCAAGATTATGAAACAAAAGATCTCATGTAGATGAAAATTAATGCAGTAAACCTTTTCATAAAAAGGACTTTTACATGTGGGTCATAAACTGCTTCTGAGTCGAATTTCAAAAAAATAATAAAAAAGCCCAGAAATCTCATTATCAAAGGCAGAATTATCTAAGTTGCTGTTTTCTAAGGAGGTAGACATCTGGCTGTATTAATTCAGTCATTTTTAATGAAACAGTCTCTTACTCTCTATAAATTCAGAGAGTTAATTTATGTTTACTTAATGTTTATTTGCATGCCTACCTACAATCTATTATACATGTGTCTTTATTATCTAGTTTGTGATCATATCATAAATTCAAATTTCTATTATTTATCTATCTGGAATTTTGACTCAACTTTGTAGTTTACACTTTTTTTTCCCCTGTTTTGAAGTGGTTATAGATTTTCTTGCTTACCTGCCTTTGTAAACATCTAATCTCCTGTTATCTTACTCCCTTGGTCAGGCTGTCAATAATATAAGCTTATTCAGTTTTCCTCTATGTATCTTGACTTCTACTTCCGAAGCCTCTAATTATAAACTGAAGGAGTTTGCCATTTTATCTTTTTTCTTCCTCCTAATGCCACATAAATATGAACTTTTCTTTTTTGAACTATTAACTCCTTCTGAGGTTTTCAGTTAGCATGGATAGCTTACCAAAATTGCAGCCATCCTTAGAAACTGCTCTAACCCTCTCTCCTACATATTACCAATCATCATTTTAAAACTTGTAGAATTATCATGATGTAAATACTAGTGTTCTTAGATCTTTTTGCATGCCTATATTAGCACAAGTGTATATATTGTTCTGGTCCAATTTTGCTTCCGTCTTATGCAGGAGTAACTCTAAAACCTTTGTATTCCAGGGCCAACTAAATATTTGAGTCCTGAATAGTCACTGGGCACATTTTTCTGTAATTTTCTTACTTTTTTTGACTTATCTTCAAATAAATTGATGACTTTATCACTTCTCTCATGCACTAAGCTCTTGCTCTTCTGTGAATTTCCCTGACTTGGGATCAGTAATCATCACTGCAATTTTTCAAAGAAATTAAAGGTAAGGGAGCATCACATATTAGATGAAATAAGTGTGTACATGTGAATCTATCCAACATATCTTTCATTCTTCAAATGAAAATAGTCACATATTTATAATCCTAAAGAGAGGTCTAATTTCTAATGAGCACAAATGTGTTTACTTGAATATATGATTATTTCCTGAAAGTCTCTTTGGTTACCAGAATGCTTTTGTAGGTATTATGAGTAAAATAGAAAGCCTTGATTTGTTCAGGGGAATGAGGCATTCTCGTAAATATGTATTTTTATACAATGTAGATAGCTGATCATATAGGGTCTTCTACCTTATCTCTTATGATTGCTAATTTTCTCAAATGTTTGTGTCTGCTTCCCCTTAGTATCAAAGTGTGTGTGTGTGTGTGTGTGTGATTCAACTTACAACATATTTCTTTTAAATGCTCATTTTTCCCTCTCAACATTATGCCAGCAGGGGATCAGTGACACCTGGTTCAGTATACACATTCTACCCGTCAAAAATAACTCATAAGTTTAATAAATTTTGTGCATAATATAAACAGTTAAACTCTTTCTTTAGTAATATGCCTTTATTAAAATCACGTATATTCAACAATAAGTTGTCTCATGCTTACATTAATACTCAAAGGAATTACGGTGCAAATACAAAAGAGACGACTTTTTTTTTACAATGAAAAATACTCTAGCAAACGAGATTTAACACAGGTTACTTTTTATGCCCTATTTTGCAGGATTTAGTTTATTTTCAATGTTACCACTTGACAAAGGAATACAGTACCTTTTTGCCTTATGCCTTAGGTCTATTGGTTTAAAATTGCTTTGCACAATTAAAGGTGCAGGTTATTGTCACACTTAACCTGGAATATTACCTAGAGTTGGAAATACTGCTGCCTGACATAATGCAAAGTATAGAGGATAGACGGGCTTTTCCTACCTATTGATCAGTACAAAAAGACACATTTATGTTGACAAGAAAAGAGTATCTAATGGCCTTTCCTTGGATGAGTCAAAACACAGTGCTTTTGAACATGTAGCTCACAGATCACTGCTTCAAAATCACCTGAGAAGCACCTTTATAGTGTAATTTCAAGGACTAATTCCAGACCTGCTTGATAAAAATCTCTAGGGATGGAGACTGAAAAGCTGATATTTACAATAAGATGACTATAGGGAAACCAAGACATACTAAAATTTGAGGCAACCGTCTAACTGAAAAGAACATGTGTGACAGGGTGGTTCTAGTCCCAAATCTAGCTGATGACAGAGACCTTGGCCCATTCTATTATTTAGCTTTGGGCCTCTGCTTTCTCATCCATTAGACCGAGAATTAGGAGTAGGTAATCTCTAATTCCCTTCTAGCTCTAAAATTTTGTAGATGTAGCATTTTTAAGACAGTAAAGAAAAGGAGAATAGGAAAACTATCAAGATGGGAAAACTAGGTAGAAAGTAAATTTCATAAAACCTATAAAGACTAAAGCAAAATAAAAGTTTAACTTAAAAAGTTGAGATTATTTTTTAAAAAAATAAACGTATTTAGAAACCCTAAAATGTGAAGTTAATACACACACACACACACACACACACACACACACACAGTTTATTCTCTTAAAACAAAAATTGACAAAGCAAGGAATATGTCACAGAAATCTACAGTTAAATAAAGAAAAAAGGAAAAACAGAAAGGAATGACACTGCAAACATTAGGCCTGAAGAGAGAATTTTTTTGATTCAATAAAGAGAAAACCTAAAAAGAAGAAGCTAAGCTTTCTTTAGAGCATTTTACATTAAAGAGCATATGCTTTTCCTTCTTGATTTAATTTACATAGATTGTTCTATTTTTCATTTTTCCTCTCATTTTATGTATGTTTACTAAGAAATTTATCACTTTGTTTTCTTCTGAATTTTGAAATTTGGCCATAATTTATGTCAGAACCTATATTTCCTTGTCAATATTTGCTAGGTTTGCAGTAGTGCTTGGGAATGTGTGAAAGGTTATTTTTTTTTTAAGTAAAGGTGGCATCTAAGATGATAAGTAGAAAAGTTCTTAATTAATTAGCTTGACAATCCTTCTCACCCACCACTGCTAGATTAATTTTATTCGAATGTGTTTTCTTTATGTAACTCTGCTGTTCAAGGACTAAGAGCCTCAACTTGGCATTTGATGCTCTCGGTATTCTGGCTTCATTTCATCAATCTGACCAAATGTCTCCTTCCTTATCAACTTCATTACCCCAATTCTGTCAGTCCCATCTCAATAATCAGCTAGTCAGAAAGCTTCTCAAGGAACAGGGAACATCTGATAGCTTCTATGTATATCAGTTATGGTTTCATTTCAGCCACCTACCAGAAACAGCAATGGCTTAAACAATAGGTGGCTATTTTTCTTCCCTCCCAGTAATAAGTCTGAAGGAATGCAGTTGCTGTAATTTTATTTAAGCAATGACCTTTTCCTCATGTTTGAAAAGTGGCACTTCCCATTATTTCTGAGTTCAAAGTAGAAAGAACAGAGAAGGGAGGAAGGTTGCACCATCTGTGCCTGTCCCTTCTTTGTGGGGAAGGAAAAGTCTTTACCAGAAGTCCCCTCCCCAGATTTCCACTGACATCTCAGAGGCCAGAATCACACATAGTATGTCCATTTCTAGCTGCAAGGGAAGCTTGGAAGTGAAGTGGTAGCTTCCCTGCTTTTATAGTGCAAGGCAAAGGAGAAGAGTATGAGGGAATGGACAGGGGTCATCCATCTCATTGTCATTTATTTGCTTGATTACATTTTATGCAGATTATACTTGTGATATGATCTACACAGTCATCATATAAATTATCTCCTCAATGAGTTTGTATACTTTTCAAGAGCAGAGGATAGTATTCCCAGTTGGTATGCTTCAAAGTGATTAGCTCAAAGGGGGCTCTTAATAAATATTTATTGGCATATATTTAATGCACACTCATCTGTTTGGGGCAATATGGTTTACTATAAGGAGCTGAAGTTCTGGAATCTAAAAAAATGGAATTTGAGTCATTAATCTCCTATTTAATAGCTATATCATGGTCACTGACTTGTCAGGTAACATCTCTTAGACTCATTTATTTTTCTGTGAAATGGATAAAGATAATTAAATGTACTTTATTAGGTCTGTTTGAGACATAAATGTGAAGATGCGGGTGGAAGCCTATTATAAACAATTAAGCACTAGATTGGAAAAGTTAAGCACTGTTCTTAATATAATATTTTTAAAATTCTGGAAGAAAAATTGGCTAAGTGACAAATTTGCAAGAGGCAGTGGAAGTTATTCTCTTACTGTTATATGACATTCCTTTTAAAGTGGTACAGCTAAACCAGGAAAGAGACTGCAATTACAACTAAGAAGCTACTGCATTCGATTTGTTAGGCTTTCACAACTGCTTCTACAATCGCTAAGATTAACTTGCCATTTGTTCTGATATTATTGCAGCTGCAAGCAGCATACAAAGATGTGGTACTTTAGAAGAAATTTAGAACTCCAGAAAATATTGTCTAATCAGCAGTCCTGCTCAGTAGCGGATAGAGAACAGAGTGTAAAACATTTACAATTATATGTGGACAATAGCATTCAGCCATATATTGGTATTCTGATTTAGATACTCATTAGAAAATGTACCCCACCTTGTCTGATTACAGTTGGATGATATTGCTATCCTTACTCTTTCACTGAGCTACACTTAATGACTAGACTTTATTTGGGATATCAGAGAGTGGATATTACCTGAGTAAGGGCATTACTTATGAAGGATAATGGAAATAATTATATGTGAATTCAGCACCCAATCCACAGTTGCTTCCTCTGACACCAGTCAGTAATCTCATGCAGCTTAATATGGTTCTGTGGTTGAGGTTAGGTGAGTAATTGTCGTATCAATTAAGTAAATTAAACTAATTTTTTTAGCTTTTATTATTCAGATCACTTATATTTGCATACTACAAAGAATGCAATCTTTCAATCTGGGTTACCCTAAGTTTCACTATCCAGTGGAATGACAGAGAAAAGAGAAAACAGTGTCATATAGGTGGTTTTGATGAGCCAGGCCTGGAAGTGACCCATAGTAAATTTTCTAGAAGTCAGTGTGAAATTGCCACTTCTATCTTCAAGGAAGGCTGGAAAATATAGTTAGCTCTGTTCCCCAGAAGAAACAGAAATGCATTTTGGTGAACACAAAGCAATTACTACTACACAGTGCTACCATTTACTATCTATGTATTGTTGGACAAGTTGCTTAAACTCCCAGACCCAATTTTCTAGTCTATTAAAAAAAACAACAAAAAACACCATAATACTTGCCCTATTGGATTTTGTGATGTCAATAAGAATGACACATTTAAAGACCTTATCCAGTGCCTAGTACAAAGTAGGTATTCTAAAACAATATTATTTCTGTTTAGTACTCTATGGAAAGAAAACACATAAACATACGTGATCATTATTCTAATTACTTGACAATCTAGTTGAAGAGCACATTATATGATGGCAGGAAACATGAAGGGATATTTGATGAATGCCAAAATATTCTCAGAAGATAAAGATCGCTATGAACTAGGATTCAATTCAGGAGATAGTTGTAGTAAAGATTTTAATTAGCCCCTGATGGAGGGGTGGAAAGAGAATTTAGATATTTAATACTTGATATCAATCATTAAGGAGATTTTCTAGTTTGTTTCTTTATATCAGAATTGCTTTTGTAACTGGCTCAGGACTTTGCAGATAGATTATGAGAGTAACATGTGGGGAAGAGCAAATTAAGTAAGTATACTGGATTAAGTCATTAAGTCAATGGAAATGTTTGAAAAACAAAGTTATGGCCAATCTATCAGAGCTGTGATGACTTCCTGATTAAGCTATTATTTATGACTTCCTTCTTTTTCAATTCCTTTTGAAACTTCTGGAAATTGGGATAGTGAAGAAGGGAAAAGAACTTTGTATGAATCTATACATTTTCACGCATGTTGAAATGCTAAAGGTCATTTTTTTGCTATATTTGTCAGGATGGCCAGGAACAAACACCAAAATCTCAGTAGCTTTACACAACAAAGATAGTATGTCCAATATGGAATAGCAGGAAATTTGCTCCCTATCGTCACTAACAGAGGCTCTAGGATCATTTCATGCTGCCATGTCCACATCTCAACTCCATGACCACTGTGGCAGGGAAAGAGATGACCACTCTGAGCTACCTCAGACTGGATATGGCATCCATCACTTTTGCTCTGGGGCCATTAATCAGGATTTTTCACTTAGCCCCTACTTGCAAAGGGATGAACATGTCTTTCCTTGTGCCCAGGATATTAGAAGATATCCAGGTACAGTGAGCACTTGAAGTCCCTACAACATCGGGGTACCACTTAAAGATGGGATTTTCAAGATCTAATTGGGCAAAGTCTAAAGGTAATGAGCAAATTCAAAGTGACCATAGAGCGTACTTTTTGGCAATAAAAATGCTATCTATTTGACTGTCTGCCTATAGCTCAAATCTGAACCAGTGAAATCCGTGGGGCAAGGAACTGTCCTCACCAGAGTCTTCTTTAGAGGAAGTTTCTCACATCTTCTCACTTTACAAAGTTTTTGATTTATTTGATTTTAGTGAAATCACTTACATAATCCCTTCATTTTGCGTGGTATCATAAAGAATACAAAGAGTACAAAAATATCCATCTCTTAAGAAGTTTAAAATATTGCAGGTAGAGTTTATATTCTATGACAATTTGATATCAATGCAATGTAAAATGCTGTGTAAAAATGATGCAAAAAGCATTAAAAACAAACAAAAGATGATTAGAGATCTGGGCTTCAGAGAAACAGGGAGGTTTTCTGAGAGAGATAACACTTGAGTAGGGCCTTGAAATTGGATGAGCAGTGGGAAAGATAAATGATATTTTGGAAAGAGGCAAGCAATGTGTGTTGGGCATAAATGTAGGAATGATAGTGACTTGCAACATGGAGGAACCTCCGGGCCCTATTTTCAAGGATTTTTTTTTCCTATATTTTGAGAGCAACTTCTTTATAAAGAAATGGCTTTTCTGATGCTCTATCTCCCTTCTTTTCTTTCTCCCTGTCTCTGCCACCCTAACCTCTCAACTTCTGTGTCTGTGTATCACTTACCATTCCCTTTATAAAATCAGGAGTCAGCATTTCTAATACTCTGTTTTAAGTAGTAGGAGTTCCGTCCCACAAATATTAATGAGCATCATGTATGTGCAAAGCAATGGAATTTGGGGATAAATACACAACAGACCTTGTTTTGAACACCTTATATTCAGCTTGAAATCTTTACATATAAACAATAGATGCTAATAGTGAAAGAGAAGCAGAGAGAGGAGAGTTTGGTTTTTGAGACCACTGAGGACCTGGCCTTCCCAAAGGGGACAGAGAAGTGTTCTGGAGAAGACGCTCTCTGAACCAATTCCTAAAGAAAGAAGGAGATTTATCCACTTGGAAACGAGAGGAGGGGACCTCTAGGCAGAGAGTATGGTGTGAGTAAAGATATAGTAGTGTGAAAGAGATTACTGGAAGTTAATTTCCCAGAGATTTGATATTACTTGTGGGTACATAAGAACCACATAGGAGAAGTAGTCAAGAACCTGCTGTTAGAAGGCACTGAGTGCCAACTTAAGGAACAATAATTTTATAGGTAAGAAAGATGCCATTTCTGTCATGTCTAGAAAGCAGGCACTTTTATCCTTAAACCTTGCACTATGAACTGGCCTAGGTAAACATACATTCTCAAATTTGCCTGAGGGAGTGATAATTTCTAAAACTAGGAGAGTGGGATGTAAAAACCAAACTTGGCTTCGTGTTGCCATCTGCCCTGAGATATGTGCACAACTCACATAATTTCCTTACATCAAATTCTACCATCAGACAATTGTCCGTATTTTCTCAGGAAAATGAATTCCTGTGGGTCCAGCAAATCCCATAAACTCCAGTGAGTATTTGAAGCAAGCATCCAACTCAGACTGAGAGTCAATGCAACATGTTTCAGTAAAATGTGAATCCAGGCTCACACAGATTGAGACATATTACTTGTAAATGTAAATAAATATAAAGGTGTGCTTTTCTATTTTTTGACAGGAAGGAATATTTGATTCATATGTTTAATATGCTTTGCCTCTTTTGCCGAGGTACAACATAAGGAAATGCTATTCATCATACAGAGAAATTTCAGAAACAAATTTCTTAGAAATAGGAACAACCGATCAGAGAGTGAAAGGCGAAAAAAAGTGAATACGATTTATCTAAGGGGGAAATTTAGTTGTGTTGACAATTCTGTGTGTTCAGTAGTTTGGAGGTGTTAGGACTGAGACAGACGAACAGAGGTTTTGATCTTATTACAATATAGCAGCTAGTATGCCGGGTGGCTTAAGCAACATTCACTCCATTTGTAATTAACATGTATTAAGCATCCTAAGGCTTGGCTGTAATGTTGGATTGGGTCTGGGGCAGGCAGCTTCTTCGTTGGATGGAGCTGGGTGTTAACATGGCCAAGATTATTTGCTTGGCACCTATAAGGACCAACTTTTACTGATGATATATTCTAGAATTTCTGGGGCATCTTGATTTTAAACATTCCTCTCTGTTATTACCTCCAGCACAACTTTGCTGTAGAATTTTCAATCTATTATATGCTGTGGAATTCTGATTACTTCTTATATCTGGACGGGGACCTGAAAAAAAAAAATCTTTGTCAAATTATGTGTTCTGAATTTTGGTTTGGAAATTATAGGATAAAAAATGCTAGAAGATATAGATGACTCAAATATCTTGAACTGAACTATCTTACAAGAAAAGCCCATAAAACAGGAGCTAAGTTCATGGTATGTTGATGATATCACTGTATAAGGTAGGAGTGACAGCCTTATTGTCTGGATTTTAAAGGATTTTTATCTTCAAAAGGGTAAAATAGGTTAAATGTACTGGTTTCTAAAAGAAATATTAACAAATGTTTATTTTCTTTGCTTTTAAAATACCATCTAAGACTGGGCGCGGTGGCTTACACCTGTAATCCCAACATTTTGGGATGCTGAGGCGGGTGGATCGCCTGAGATTAGGAGTTCTAGACCAACCTGGCCAACATGGCAAAACCCCATCTCTCATAAAAAAAAAAAAAAAAAAAAAAAAAAAATATATATATATATATATATATATATATATATATATATATATATATATAAAATTAGCCAGATGTGGTGGCAGGCGCCTGTAATCCCAGCTACTTGGGAGGCTAAGGCAGGAAAATTGCTTGAACCTGGGAGGCAGAGTTTGCAGTGAGCCGAGATGACACCATTGCACTCCAGAATGGGTGAGAGAGCGAGACTCTGTCTCAACAAAAAAAAAAAAAAAAAAAAAAAAAGAAAAAGAAAAAGAAAAAAAAAAACACCTAAAATACCTTTGGAAATACTATTTTCTGTGGGGGAGAGTTGGTGTATACTGGGTAAGACTGACCATAAAACTAAAGGTTAGTTTTATTCAAGGATAATTCAAGGATAGACAAACTCCTTTCCATAGAAAAATATACAGCAGAACAATCGTTGAAATTGACATGGACCCCTCTACACAGGGAATTGGCAGCCTTTCTCCTAAAGGATCAGAAGTAAATATTTTCGGCTTTGTGAGTCATGCCGCTTTGGTGACAGCCCTGCTATTACTGTCTGAAAGCATCTAGACAATATGTAAATGAATGGGTGTGGCTATGTTTCAATAAAATCTTATTTATGGGCCCTTACATTTAGATTTCATATAATTTTTTAAGTTACAAAATCTTCTTTTGATTTTTTTTCTACCCATTTACAAATGTAAAAAAACATTATCAGTGCATAGCTATATGAAAACAGGTGGTGGGCTAGATTTTCCCCAAAGGCTACAGTTTGCTGACTTTTAAGTAGTGTAAATTTTGGCTTTCTTTCTCATGTTCCTTCTGTTCAGTTTTAGAATTTTCCCCTTTTGACAGAGATTTAGGAATGTTTGTTGCCAAAGTGGTTAGAATAAATAGTGGTAAAATGTTGTAGGTATGTTTAATCAGTTATGTTTTGTTTTTAATTCTCACTTTTATTTTCTCCACCTATAAACCTTCAGTGACCCCCCCCTCCTGACAACCACATCTTGTATCAGTCACTGTAAACTTCTGCTGATTTCAGCTCACAGGGTGTCTTTCCCAGGTGTGTGCCTATACCCCGCACCTGGAAGAAAACTCCCTCCCTGCCATCTTTCCTCTGAATAGTTCTTAGGAGTTCATCAAGGTCCCATTCAGTTCTCACATCTAGTAGAAATCTTTATAGCCATTCCCTAACATACTGATAGGTACAAATATATAGTTTTGTACCTAATTTTTTATACACTCTCACACATGTTTTTCAGTACTCCGAGAGGCAGATGAATTCTTTCATTAATACATTGATTAATTTTTCAGTTGCCCCTTGATACAAAGCATGTGTCTGAGCAGGTGCTGGTGGGTAAAATGTCCTGACTGGCTGATGTATGCAGAGATAGTCCTCTTCCAAAAACTGTAAGTAAACTGTCTTTTAGATCTTCATGTTGGGTGTCTCCTATTAGCTTTATTGAAGAATTACAAACAGCAACAGACAATAAATAGTTCAGTAATTCAAATCTACTTTAGAATTCCCATTCTGACACTAACTGCTTGATTTTAGAAAAGTTAAGTAAACTGTTTCAGCCTCAATTTTCTCATCTGTATAATAGGATCACTGATTTCTACCTTGCAAATGGACAGAATAAATTACATGATATACTACATGGTTTATAATGGGTACTCAGAAATGGTAGCCATTATTAGCTTACTTCAGTGTGCTGTGGGGTAGTATGGGAATATGAAGAATATAAATGATTACATATGTGATTTAGAAACACAAAAACTTTGGCATGAAGTAGACAATAAACTAGAGGAGAAAACAGAGATAGGTTTTGGCATTGGATTTTTTTAAATAAGTATATGCTTTTCCCTACAAGATTTTATTGGGAGTTGAGGCATTCATCCACACTTCTGTGGGTTGATGACTCTCCTGTTGATATGCTTACCCAGAATTTCACTCCAAACTGACATACCCCAATACTTACTCAATTTCTCTTCAGATCTCTCGAAATTAATCTGGTATAATTTGCTCTTATCTTTGCAACAAGCCCCTTCCTGCTCTAGTGTCTTTGGCTCAGTCAGGTGATGCCACCCTGCACTCAGTTATTCAATCCAGAAACGTGGGGTTCTTGCCTCCTCCATCTTCCTCATCTCTCCCCCCATCCCCTGCCAACATGCCCAATTAATCACAAGGTTCCCATCAGTTCTCCTCTTAACTATATTCTTATCATTTTGTGGTCATCACTCATACCTACTCTTGCCTTCTACAAAATTCATTGCTCCCACTATAGTCAGAGTGGCTTTGATTTTTTTTTTTTCATTTTTAGTACAAAACTGGCCATATCAATCTCTGCTTAAAACCCTTCACTAAAGTTTCATGGCTCTTAGGATGGAGTGTAAATTCTTCAGTTTGACTGAGCAGGCATTAACATGACTGAACCCCTGCCCTCTCATCAGCCTCTTCTTATCTCACACTCTGTCTTGCTCTCTGGACTCTAGACATACTTGTCTTATTTTATTACTTCTGTTTCTAGAGCCTTGATGGTTGTTCCTCTTGTATTGTATGCTCTGCATTTACTTAAATGGATTTGATTGTGGAAATTGTTTTTCCTTTAGAAAATATATCTCATAAGTATATGTTGGTACTTTAAACATTTTGCCATTTTTGCCTTATGTAATCTCTTGCACAGCACCTGTCTGAATGGTTGACCAGCTGATGACTGACCACTTCTGTCGAAGAGAAACTAAGAATCCTTCTGCATGTAACATATTATGTTATTTTGGGGTGTTTCACATCAAATTACTCAAAGTTCGTCTTTTGCTTTGTTGCTACTACAAATAAGTCTATATCTGTCAGGCATTTTGAGTGATAAGAAGCTGTTCTTCCTTCTCTACTTTGGATGTTATAGACAGGATGGACATCATGCTGGCTGCCATATCTCTAGGCAAGCCTCCTCTGGAAAATGTTAGTGATAGGGATGCTTCATTTGCATGATTTTTATTATTTTCCCCTAATGTATCTCATGGGATGATCACAACAGATCTGTGATATACATGAAGGAGGTTTTCTTTTGTCTTGTTTTTGTTTGTTTGTTTGTTTTTGTTTTTTTCTTGTTTTGTTTTTGTTTTTGAGACAGAGTCTCTCTCTGTAGCCCAGGCTGGAGTGCATTGGTGCTAGCTCAGCTCACCGCAAGCTCCGCCTCCCGGGTTCACACCATCCTCCTGCCTCAGCCTCCCGAGTAGCTGGGACTACAGGCACCCGCCACCACGCCCGGCTAATTTTTTGTATTTTTAGTAGAGACAGGGTTTCACCGTGTTAGCCAGGATGGTCTTGATCTCCTGACCTTGTGATCCGCCCGCCTCTGCCTCCCAAAGTGCTGGGATTACAGGGGTGAGCCACCACACCCATCCTGTCTTGTTTTATTTTATGCTTAGGAATCTATTTAATTTAAAAACATGTGATGTAACCTGTAAGGTATCTTCATAGAGTTGGTATCTAGTAGACATCAATCTATGGATCAAATACCCTGAGAGCTGGTCTAACACTTAAATAGCTGTACCCCTCATTCTTTCTTCTCTCTTCCGCATAGGAACCATGAGTTTCCTTTGTTATAGTGGTGAACTTTTTTGTCACATCCAGGTGGAGGAAATTCTGGGTATTCGCTGAGAGCAAACAAACGGACACACGTTGGGTCCTATACTGGTGGTGTTATATCCAACACTGGGAAGGCTATTTCCTCATCATGCTGCTTTCAGGGCACATGGAAACACTAGAAAAGAATTATTAGAATAGAGTTAGAATTCCAGTTAGGATAGAAATGTTGGGAAGTGTGTTGGTGTTTGTGCCGGGATGTTAAGCTCAGGGCAAAGGGATTCCAGACTGTTCTGGAATAGATTATTTGGTACCAACGCTTTCCAAATTTTTTTTTCTTGCTTCTCTGCCAGCCTTTTGGAATCAAACTGGAAGTTCTAGTAACACTTGCTTCTGTCGCTGCCAAAGTCCCTGCTGGTGAAATTAATTCCCTATGTGTTTAATGCATATAATTTAATGTTAAAAATAAAATGGTGAGTCTTAATTGCTTAGGTGGACGAAGTGTACTAAACTGTAAGTTACTGATATTATAGGTCTCTTTGAAGGTGACCTTATCAATGTGTGGCCTTCAGTAGGAACTCTGGCTACTTCTTCCAAAAGAATTGAGTGTTATTCTCCAGAGATCTGAAAGGAAGATTGCATCGTGTTCATTAGCATCTTGGTTTTCTGACAGTAAAGAAATACTTTGTAGCCCAATCTTTTTAGTTGCACCTAAAAATATTAGGTTGGTACAAAAGTAATAGTGGTTTTTGCCCATTACTTTCAAAGTTGCTTGTGACAGTGTTGACGGCTACACCAACGATTTGTCTAAGATACGCATTTTATCATGCACCTTGAGGATAATACCCCAGCCTTACATTCCTTATAGAACTTGAAGTTGTGTCTCACTCTTTCTATAAATGTGTCAGGGAAAAAATAGATAAAAAAGGAAAATTGGCAAGCATTTTCCCTGTCAATAATAAAAACAAGACCAGAAAGATAGTCCCTTGGTGAATAAAATCTTGAATATAAAGCATGTTACATCTGAAAAAAAAATCTCAAATTTCAACAGCATGATGGCATATGTGTCTCTATAATGTATCCTCAGCTGATGGTATCAGGGGAACATGAGACATTTGAGAAAATAGTAACATAAAAACGAACATTGGGGCATGTCATCCAGAGTGGCTACTGAGAGAATACTACTTGTGAGCAAGAAGCTCCCTCTCCCCCTTTTCACTCCGTTTTTAACTCAGCATTGAATTAAAATGAAAGAAAGGGAAATATATATATTTTTTCCTTTTAGCAGAAAATGTCATGGAAATGTCAGAGTTCTAGGTGATTACATCTCTCTTAAAAGTCGATAGCTGCAAATCATGGAATCCCTTACTACATTGGAAAATATTAATTTTGAGTAAAAGCATCATTTTCCTGAGATGTGGGCAGGCTCTGAAGCTTTGGAAAGGTGCTTCAGAATGGAGTGTAACCCAGAGCCACTGAATTCTCTGAATGACTGTCAGGTTCTGATCAATTTATGTCAGTTGCAGACAGATTTATGTAACTCTTTCTGTCCTGCCCTCAGATCACATCCTTTGAGTGCTCTGCTCATTCCTAAGTGCTTCTGCCGTTTAGATTTACTTGTATTAATAATTCTGTTTTCAAGATTCAAAGCGGTGGGAACAGCCCCTTTAGAAAATGACATTCAGAGATGTTACATGGAAAGAATGGGGCACCTTCAGAAGCTTCTAAGTCTTTTTCCTGGCTTTAGGCAGAACTGATCTTGTGTCATGCAGATCAGTATCTAGTCAGGCTTTAAAGATCCTTGTCAGTGTCTTGATCTTTTTGTACAAGCCAGGGTCACATTCCATTCCATTTGTTATCAGAGAGTTTCTCTTCACTGCTGTTCCTCAGCTGCAAATTCACTTTCTATATGTAGCAGGATGGGGAATAGGGCTCTTCTAATCATCAAGGAAGTTTGGTTAAGTACCCAAAATTGAGAACAATTAAAGACAAGTTCTTCTGATGATGAATAAGACCCCTCCTAGGAGCCTGTAAAGATTACTGAAAGGGCAAAAGTGGTCAGAGCTGCAAGTGGGAGTAGGGTAGGGAGAAGCTTAGAAAAAGATGTAATATACTGGGTTTTTCTTAGTTTACAGAAATTTATGCTTATCAATGTGTATACATTTATATGCAGATATATAAACATATATGCTTATAATACAGAATAAAATGCATAAAGGTGAGATTTTATATATATATGAATGAATGAATAATTTCAAATTTATAAAACATTTGCAAAGGTAGAACAGAGGGTTTCTGTATACCCCTCACTGAATTCCCATATTACTAGCACCTTACATTGTCATATGTCTGTCAGAATCAAGAAACTGAAATTGACACTGGTATATTAGTAATAACTAAACTCTCAGCATTATTTGGATTTCACTAGTTGTTCCTCTTTCTGTTTCAGAATTCGAACTAGGATAACACTTGGCATTTAGTTGTCATGGTGTTCAGTCTCTGCTGGTCTGTGACAGTTTCTTTTGGTTAATTTTTTTTTTCTGACTTTGAGGAATATTGGCTAAGTATGAGATCTCCGTTTTGGTTAGACGGGACTATCATATTTTAATACCTGAAAGTGAATCATAGTTGTTTATATAAATAAGATTGTTCTTACAATTCAAAGTGACTAGAAATTCATCTATGCCAGAGATGTCTTCAAGGAGAGATTGAGGGAAATATGGTAGAGTATGTTAGCAGGCAATGTTTGAAGAAAAATAGAGTATTTTTCTTTCTGTAACCTCACTGCGCTTGGCCCATTTGACAAGCCAATTACATTTGCATTTGAGAGGGGAAAAAAGACTGATAACTATTCCAAGTATCAATGAACAAGTATTTAGTGTCTATTAAAACTATATACTAAGAGGCATTCAGAAACAGCTCATCCCTGAAGGAGTTTATAATCTAGTAGAGGATATAAAACATGTTCCCATGCAATTCAAAATACAAACAGATAAATGCTAAAGCAATTGAGAAAAAGGTGTTATTTGCCCTAGAATCATGAAAATAGTTTGAGAAGTTAACAATAGTGAAAAAGGACTCTAGACAGAAGTTGGAGGTGTGGGAGGGAAGTAGAATGTGATTCTAAACATGGGAGCAACAGAATACTGGGCTTATTTTTGGAGGTAAGGACAATACTGCAGAATGAGATGCATAAAGGTAATTTGCAAGAGAGGAGACAAGAAAGGTAAATTGAGCAGAGGTTGAATTAAGGGCTGTAAATAATACGCTGGGCTAATTACTTTTTCAATTTGCAAAAACTGGCCTTAACAGAATTAGACTAGGTGAATATCATGGTCAAAGTATTATCCGACGAAGGTGTACTGTCTGGCAGAGGGATGTGGTAAGGCTTGGTGAAACAGATTAGAGGCTGGAGAGAAGACATTAAGAGGGACCTACACAATGTATACATGTATGGAAGTATCACACTGTACCCCATAAATATGTGTGATTATTAAGTGTCTATTAAAAACAAAATAAAACTTAAAAGGCAGGGGGATGGGCAAAGAGATAGAGAATAGTGGAGTTGAGGGCACTCACTCTTGAGAGTCCTTATTTATTGAGGAGATGACATTATCTATAGAAAGAGGGAATGGGGAATATTGAATGCTTAATGTTAATGGCTGTGAGGAATGGGATAGGGGCTTCGTCATCCAGAACTTCAATGCACACACTACTGAATCGCATTGAGAATCCATTTGAGATGAGGACACAGGACATTTTAAGAGATCTAAGCAATGCAGTTCTTTGCCTCTCACTCTTTTTCAAGTTTTTGATTCCCAAGGTGAACCTTGGTTCACATTCCCCTATGACCATATCTTGGAGACAACTTTTTATATGTTTCTCTTCTCCTAACCCAGATTTGGAAGGGAAGAAGTGGATCATTTGTTTTTATTGTCTTATCTTTGCTTTCTTACCGTTCTCTTACTTTTTTTTAAATATCACTACTGAAAAATATGAGTAAAATGTTTTTTAGAACATTTTAGAAAAGAAAAAAATACAAAAGTAATGCTATAGTTTATCAGTGAAGCATGAAGAGAAGCTTATTTTGCTTACTATTTGAGGCAGTTCTGGCCATAGGATTTAATGGACTTCATTTTGAAAAGCTGCCTGCCAGATCAAGTAACTTCTCATTCATTTGAGCCATGTCTATATAGCCTAAGGCCTGGCTCAAAGGTATGACAGAAACCTAATATGAGAAATATAATTTTATTACAGTGAATCCATGCAGGGTATTGGACAAGGAATTATACAGAAATCATTTCAATTGCTATGTTAAATTAGAAGGTTGTACAAATATTTTACATTAGAGACCCCTTAGTCATTAAAGCCACAAGCTTGCTATTACTATATATTTGTGAGCAAATATCATCACAGACCTGACTCACATTAGAAGGGAAATTCTCATCACCTCTGTCATCCTTTAGAATGGAAAAAAAAACTTATTCATAAACTCATAAAAATCCCAACAGAAGAAAGTTTAAAAACCATGGAATATGACCTCCTGGCAAATCAACAAATTTGTTTTTAAAAAAAACAAATCATGGTGACTGCCTTAATAATTATGCAGAATAAACTATTTGTTTCTATATAATCCCCTCCATGGTTGAAGACTGTCATCTTTAGCAGCCTCTTTATCGTATTTAACCAAAAAATGTCTCTCTCTAACTTCGACCCATTGGTCCCTAGCTGTCTCTGGGATCTGTACAGATAAATGTAATAACTATCCCTAAAACTACTCATCAAATATTATAAAAGTGCTTTTATTCACTTACTGGGTCATTTTTGCAAACCAAACACCATTTCCTCCAACATTACTCAAATGACATGGCTTTGTTTTTCTCACTGTCCTGGTCATCTTGTGTGAAACAATGTTTAATCTCTTAGGTTTCATACAGGAATTTAATGCTCAAAAATGACACAATTCTTCAGCTGTATTCTAATATATTTTGTACTATAGGCTGTATTTTATCAATACCACCTATTGCTTTACCTTCTTTTCAGAAGCGCCCCCAGACTTTTAATTCAGACAGAGCTTTGGGTCAACAAATTTCTTAGATAGCTTCTATATCAACTGCTGTCAAGACAAGATTCTCTTGATTATACTTGTCCTATTGATTTTTTTAACTCTAAGTTTTTAGACTTATCTCTGCTACATTTCATCTTTTTATTTTTTTAATTGACACAGAGTTTGCATTTGTCGCCCAGGCTGGAGTGCAATGGCACAATCCCGGCTCACTGCAACCTCCGCCTCCCAGGCTCAAGCAATTCTTGTGCCTCAGCCTCCTGAGTAGCTGGGATTACGGGCATGCACCGCTATGCCCAGCTATTTTTTGCATTTTTAGTAGAGACAAG
Organism: Homo sapiens; assembly: GCF_000001405.40. Lineage (NCBI taxonomy): Eukaryota > Metazoa > Chordata > Mammalia > Primates > Hominidae > Homo > Homo sapiens. The sequence continues at coordinate 52,619,130 of NC_000018.10, forward strand.
GTTTCACCATGTTGGCCAGGCTGGTCTCAAACTCCTGACCTCAAGTGATCCACCTGCCTCTGCTACCTTTCAACTTCTTGCCATTGTTTTAATCTACTAAGAGATACTCCTGGCCATTCTATTTTGTATAAATATGTTTGAAAATTTTGTTTAGGAAAGATATCTAGCTAGTATCCCTGCTAGATATATTAGATATACATCCCAGACTGTTTTTCCCCACCCACTGATTTGATCATATTCCTTTTGAAAACATTAAACTTGAACATGGCCAATGTCAGAGCTCTGTGCCACTCCAGTAGGCAACTGCTTCTGGATTGGTTTTTTGGTTTGTTGTTGTTTGTCTCTTATTTTTGCCCAGTGGTAACATTTAGAGTTCATGGTGTTTGAAACATTTTCCCTTGAGTATGGGTGATCCCAATAACCAATGTTCTTTGGATGCAGTTGTTCAAGTTATAAATCCAACTAATTGTACTTATATTTTACCAATATTAGGCTATAAAATCAGACATTGTCAAAGACCTTTCAAGATTCAAGATTTATGTCCTTATTATGTGTAAAATGAATGAGCCATCATTTTCTGTCATATTCAGAGTTTCCTAATCTAATATTCTATAAAATTTTAACCTTACCTAGAATAAAGAATCCACGTCAAGAAAGCAAGAAATGGCACATGGATAAATTTTCCCTACGCAAAATCCAGCCCCAGTCACCCTCTCTCTGATAAATTGAGTCCATTGGAAAAGGCAACCACCTCTCAGTGATAAGCACCAGTCATAAATTAATATCTAGGACTTGATTATTAAAATTACTACGTACTGTGCTGGAAGGAAAGATTCTAGAAACTTGATGGCTTAGATTAAATTGTCACTACCCACTAGACTTGAAGAAGCCATTGGAAAGGCCATTGAGGCCCCCTCGTAATTTATATAAAGGAACTGACAACCTCATTGGTTTTCAGATTTGCCAGTTAATTAAATGGCTCAGGCATGTCATTTTGGAAAAGCTTTGGATTTGGAGACTGAATTTACTTCTAGTTCTTATCTAACTTAGTTTTATGACTTTGGACAAAATTTTTCACCTCTCAAACAATTTCTCTCCTTATCTGTGAAGGGAGGAGGTTGGACAGTTATGAACAAAGCTTGTAGCTCCAACTTTCTATTAATTGCAGGAGGCAGGAAGGGAGCTACACTAACTGGAGAGATTCACTAGTTGAAATTCTTGGTTTTGCTGCAGACCATAGCCTACAATTAGGGCTTTGAGACTCTGGCTCCATAACTACCAAAGGATGATGTCTCGAACAGGTTTAAATTAACCCATCTTCAAGGAGTTCAGTAATAGACTCTGAACCGAATAAATCTCTTCCTAAGCCCATTTAAAGTTGTATATAGAAGAGAACTGGCACAATTATTTGGTGACGGTCATTTTCTTCTCAAAATTTTTGTTCTTGAAGTGATTTGGTTTTTACTCTAAGTTTAATTGTAGCTTTTTTCTTCATTGTAACATTTTAAATTACTTTTTAGTTATAGCAAATGTAAATTGGAGTCATATTCAGTTGTTCCTGGACCCTCTTTGCAGTTTTCCCTCTGTCTTAAGTAGACGATGTCGGAGGAAAAAAATAGGTAACCATAATATGTGGCCTTATTATGTACAAAATGAATAAGCCATCATTTCCAGTACTATCATAAGGAGCTACGTGAGAAACATTATAGTCAAGGAGTATACACAAGCATGGAATTTACACTGGCCTCTGTGTATATGCTGAACGCTAGTTACTGATTTTAAATTTCAAGGTAACATTTTCTAACAAGGGAGACTTTCCCCAGAGGTATTGCTTCTGTCTCCCAACTCTTCATATTTGAGTGCTGGTCAGGAGAAGCCTGGGTGAGGGGATGGAGAAATAGCCACTCTGGATGAAGGCTGCAGAGCCAACCTTCAGGACTGTTGTGTCTGTGAGTGAAATTTATAGGGCATGGCTGCTAGCCGCCAAATCCATTGTCTCACAGTGTCAACATTAACTACCACTGCTTTTTATGTTTAACTTGGTTAATATGTTTAGACGCTGCTGGGGTCCAAATGCTGAAAATTCAGCAAACTGAATTAATCGATTTTTCTCTGACAGGAATGTTCTGTAGAAATAGATATTGCCACACCATACTGTGAGCTGCTTAACACACACAGCTGAAATAACTGCACTGGTGATGAACTTGAATTTGAAACAGGGATTAGAACTCTGTGTCTGAAGGTTGGGAAAGGAGGTAGGCTATGGCAAAGTTTGGGTCTCAGGAGGGCTCATTAGATGAAGATTAAGTGAAGAAGTCTTGCCTTTCTCCACTGCCTTATTCCACTTACTCATTGCACCTCATTCCTTTCTACCCGGAGCTTACAACCTCACTCTGATGTGCTTTCTGTGCTTCAGGGTTTGGCCACTGGCAGAGCAGATGAACAACTAGCAAAGGGACTGTACTTTTGCAAAAAGGAAATTATACTGCCCAACTCATCAGCTTAAAGGGAGAAAGGACACTCACTGTAGCACACAAGCTTAGTAAACATGTTGGGTCTCTAGGTCCTCCTTGGCAATTGATTCCCATCTGGACACAACTCAAAGTGTGAACTCGAATGTTTACAAGTCTCTTTGCTTTTGGCCAAGGTTGTCTTGGAACTGATACTTATGATACCCGAGGCTTCCTCACAACTTCCTTTTGAAGAGGTACTGATGCTTCATTTTATGTTACTTGCTTTGCCATGAAGGGGAAAAGCAGCTCATCCAGAATAGTACACAACTCCAGACTTGCTAATTTTTGACTTAGAGTGAAATATACCTCATTTAGTATAAATTTACTTTCCAAGTTCTGTTTTTATTTACTAATAATAAGAATTTATTTGCATTCCGTGAACACACTCACAGAGAAAAGAGAGCGATTAAAAGAGGATCATCGAACATAAAAGAAAGAGGTCAAAAACTAGGCCCACATGAATTTTAAAATTTGTCCTCAAGTATAAATAATCTATAGTCAGGAATTCACATTAATAATTTAATTTCTGCCACCATTCTGAGTTTTTCTTCATTTTTTCCTACTAGGGACCAAAAGTTCTCTATAAGAATGTCCAAGGTTCTGGAAATGGAGTTATCCTATTTGAACACAAATACTCAACAGCTAAGAGGCATAGAAGTTTCTCTAGAAGAGTACATTGTTCTACAATCAGAATGGGTATTGGGGTCATGTGGAAGGCCTATTAAATCACAGATTTCTGGCCCATACCCCAAATATTTTAGTTCGGTAGTCCGGACTGGGTCCCAAGAATTTACTTTGTCAGCAAGATCCCACGTGATACTCATGCTGCTGCTCCAGGTTCCAACTATGAGGACAACTATTCTATTAAAAGACTTATCGACATCGTTGGCACCAGCCCAGGGGTTCATTCAGGACCTTCTCTTTCTTTCCATCACTGCCCCTATTCTAAACACTTCCTTCACCCCAAATATTTCGGTTCATTAGGCCTGGGTGGGTCCCAAGAATTTACTCTGTCAGCAAGATCCCAGGTTATGCTCACGCCACTTATCCAGGTTTCAACTATGAAGACAACTATTCTATTAATAGATGTATCCACATGGCTGGCACCAGCCTGGTGGTTCGTTCAGAACCTTCCCTTTCTTTCCCTCACTGCCCCTTATTCTAATTTCTTCCTTCACTGCCACACTTTTGATTTTAGGTGACCAAAAAAAATGATCATAGAAGGAATTTTTGTTCATGATTACTCTCACTTTCGTGCATCTAGCAACCTTAGTGACAGCTCCATGTTTTAAATTCACAAAGGACATGTAAAGAAGTTCAAACTAAAACATAGGGGCTTATTTTATCTAAGATGCCTCAAACACTTGTTTCCACTTTTCTTATCCTCTAACCAGGGATCTGCAAACTGTAGCCCACAGGCCAGCTGTTTGTTTATGTAAATAAAGTTTTATTGGCACACAGTCACATTCATGCATTACTTGTTGCCTCTGGCTGCAGCGGCAGAGTTGAGTAGTTGCAACCAAAAAAGAAAATAAAAACTTTGAAGGGTATATTGGAGTTGGACATGAGGAAGAAATACTACAGGACAGTTAAATATTTTCCTCACATGTCATCTTAAGTAGTAAGGGAAGAAACTCCGGACTAAGAAGGAATAATCAGCAGAACTTATCTTTCCCTTTAAAATGGCACCATTCTTTCATCACAATAAAACGAGCATTAGGAACTGAATCAGGAAAACAGATGCATTCTCTTCAAAGATGTGCAGCTGGAAGAGGCAGGAGCTTGGCATTTGCATTATCAGGAGATCTTTCTTCCTTTTTTGTTTCTAAAGTGTGGGGGGAGAGAGAGGCATGGATTATAATTGTCTATTTATTGCTTTCTTTGTTTTGTTCTTCCAACAAGGAGCAGACAACCATGTTTTCTTACGTGGTTTAATCTCATTACACAGTTTCTCTCTGACTAAAGCCTTAAGCGAACAGTTCATAACGGGATTACATAGATTGGTTTATTTTCCACAATTTTCTAAACAAGGTTATTCAAGGATAATACCTTGTGTAGCATTTTCCCCCTTATGTTCTATTTTCTTTTTCTATCTCTGCATCTCCCCCTTTCAACTTTTGCCTCACCTTCCTTTCCTTTTCCTCTAACCTTCATTTTAAGATACCTTCTATAAGAAAAGGCAAATCTCTGTCCCTCCCTTTCCCTCAGGATTGCTTTAAAGCTTATCATAATGTCAGCAAGGATTTGGGCATTAATCAGCAATGCACATGTGTGTATTGAATACACAGGGAAAGAGGTTTATGACAAGAAAGCCAAACAAGGTTTCTTTTGAATCCGCTTCTTTCCCTAGAAATTGTAGGTTACAAAAGAGCATTGGTTTCATCTCCCCAACCCATGCAATGGATTCAACTTCAAGGGCACATAACAATTTTTTCTGTAATGAAAGGAACTTAACATATATCCAGACAGTAAATCACACAGATAAGATCCCTCAATAAAGCATTTTTTCAAAGTCACTCCATTAACCAAGTGCATCCTCATAAATTGAAACAAAATTAAATTAATTACAGGCTTGCATCCTATAATTAAAATTTCATATATAAATTAATTCAAATATAAATATCCAAATATCAATTAATCCTTCTCGTCTGCTTTTGCACCCACCTTCAAAGAGATTGTGAGTAAAATAGTACCTTTTTGTTACATAGTTTTACTCAGAATGGAAAGACTCATTACCTTCTAAGCTTCAACAGTTTTAAGATAAAGGCTGTGGAAATTTAGTTATGGGAAAATGTCTTAGTATCAGCTGGGAGTTTATTTTTCGCACTTAAACTTCTGTGGGGTTTGTTCTCCAGAGTCCTTTTTTCTGTTGGAACAAGCTTGTGAGTAGTTTTCAAGAATCACAAGCTAGTGATTTCAGTGGTATTACAATCACATTTGTTGGTTTAGTGATCAAAATATATGTTTACTAATCAGTTGCCTGAGTATCACAGAATATTAGAGCTAGAAGTAATATTGGTATTATTAATGGTATTGTAGGACAGGACCTTGGAAAACTGACTCAATTAATCAAACATATATCTGTTGCACTTCTGCTATGCAATGATGACTGTGCTGAGAGGCACAGGGGCATAGGCAGGCTTTTCCATCTCATTAAGGAGGCAAGACACTCGTGGTTTAAAAGCGCAACTAGGCAGACAAAGAGATTCACGTGCAGTTGCATTTGGCTTACGCAGATCGTAAGCCATTCATAGAGTTGCCTATGAATGGGGATACATTATGAGAAATGTGGCATTAGGTGATTTGGTTGTTGTGTAAACATCATAGAGTGTCCTTTCACAAACCTGGATGGTACAGCCTACTACACACCTAGGCTGTATGGTGTAGCCTATTGTTCCTAGGCTACAAACCTGTACAGCTTGTTACTGTACTGAATACTGTAGGCAATTGTAACAGTGGTTTTTGCGTATCTAAACATATCTAAACATAGAAAAGGTACTGTAAAAATACATGATAATAATCTTATGCAGACTCCATCATTTATGCAGTCTGTCATTGACGAAAATGTCATTATGTAGCATATAACTACATTATGTAAATTTAGAGAAGAGAGAAATGTGAGATAGGGAATCTTTTTGAATGGTGTAAAACTTAAGAGATTCTCTAAATTGTTAGGCTGTGGGAAAGAAGCATAATGTAACCGCCGTATTGATTCATTCATTTATTCATTTATTCACTCAACAACTATGAATTATCCTGTCCTTGTATTCTTTGTTTTCCTTCTGTTACAAGGAGACATGTGCTTTGCTACTATTGGGGTCAATCTTTCATTTGGGAACTATAGTCCTAGACCATCTTCATTGACTTTACTCCTGTAGTTCTCACTCCCTCTTTCCTACTTCATTAATGTTTCTCTCTCTACTTCATCATTACATTAACATGCTTTGGTGTTGTCCACCAAAGAACAGACAAGCAGGCAAACAACCTCTCGGCTCTACCTGCCACCACAGACATCTCCTTAATACCTGCTCCTATTCACAGCAAAGCATCTTGAAAGAGCTGAGCTGTGTTCACAGTCTCTATTTCTTCATTTCCCATTCACTCTGAGCCCCTCTGATCAGATTTTCACCTCCATCACTTCATCGCCAATGACTTCTGCATGCTAAATGCCAATGTCAGTTCTCAGGTCCTGCCTCATGTCCAAACATGTTTTAATGCAGGGGATTACATTCTTGTGGGAAATCTTTCTTTGGTGCTTCCCTCCTGTCTCTCAACTCATCAGCGGCTCCTGTTCTATTTTCTTTGCTGGTTCTTTTCCTTACACCTAACTCACTCTTCAATGTTTGCTGTAAACAGAGCTGGCTCTGGGTCCTCTTCTTTTCTCAATGTACATACTCTCTCTAAATGATATTCATGACATTACATGTCATTTAGAAGCTCTAATGACAACCAGCATGTTTCTCTCCAGTCCTGCCCTCATCCCACATGTTTGAAGTTATCCAACTACCTACTTGATATCTCTGCATGGATGCCTAGTAAACATCTCAAGCTCTATCCAGAGCACAATTCTTTATTTCTCCTCACAATTTTTTCTTCCTCCAGGTGCCATATAGATGGAAAACCATAAAAAACTTTTGCTTCCTCCTTGACTTGTGTCTTCCACACATTCAATTCACAAGCATATCCTCCCAGCCCTACTTCCAAAATAGATCTCCAGTCTAACTTTCTCTATTTTATGCCTAGCCTGACCCAAGCTCTTAATTGTTCTCCTGGAATATTATAATAGCCTTGCCAATTAGTCTCTCTGCTTTTTTTTTTCTGCCCTACTGTAGTCATTCCTAATATACAAAAACCAGAGTGATCTTTCTAAAACCTCAATTAGGTTGTCCCTTTCTTAAAACTTTTCAGTCTCTCTCCACTGCACATGATAGCTAAAGTCCTAGCCAAAGTCTCCAAGTCCCTATAGGATCTGGCACTCACCTTGTACCTTCCCAGAAAAATACAGTTAGCCCTCCGTATCATGGGTTTCACATCCGTAGATTTAACCAACAGTAAATTTGAAACAAAAAAATTCCAAAAAACAAATCTGAATTTCTCACATGCTGCGTACTATGTTGAGTCTGTGTGAATGAAGTAATGTGTAGGTCTTGTATTAGGTATTATATAATCTAGAGAGGATTTAAAGTATATGGGAGAAAGTATGTAGTTAGATGCATATATGATACTATTTTTTGTAAGGACAAAAAATGTGAGCATCTGTGGATTTTGGAATCCATGGAGGGTTCCTTGGTATCATGGAATCTCCAGGGATACTAAGGGACAGTTGTACTAGCCATTTATTTCTCAGTCCATCCCTCTCACACTACCCTCTTCTCTGTTCCTCTGACATATCAGGCTGTTCTTTATTTCAGGGTTATGATCTTGTTGGGACCTCTTTTCATATGCCTCCCTATAAGTAAGTTCCTATTTTACATCTTACTTCTGCAGAGAGATGTCCTCAAGTAGAGCCCCAGTTATTCTTTATTGCACAACCCTATACATCCTTCATAGCACTTTTCCTCCTTTGCAGTTACTTCATATTTTTATTTGACTATTGATCATCTCCTCCCTTCAGAATTAAGGTCTACAAAGGTAAAGACTTGGTCTGTTTTGGTCACTGCTGTATTCTGAGCCCCTATAACAGTGCCTGGGTGAGTTGGGTGGTCAGTTAATACTAGGGATGAGTAAGGTTCCTGTGCACTGTTAGGGATGTGGAGATTCACAAGACATCAACACTGCCTTCAAGTTGCAGACAATCACAAAGGGCTAAACCATTCTCCTTAGGCCTTGTTTCTTAAATGCAAAATGAGAATAGTGTGATTTTATGATGCGTTGTATATAAAGAGAGGAAGCAACTAAAATTATTTTGTTTTATAAGATTAGGTTGTTCAGTTGAGCTTCCCCATGTTATCTCTGCAGAGAACAACTTCTTTCTGTAGAGAAAACAAAACAAACAAACAACAGCAACAACAAAACATTCCACTTGTTGCTTCTTGAAGGACAGGGAGGTAAAGCAAATGAGACAACTCTCGCTTTGGAGTGAACAGAGGTGGTCTTCACAGGCAAGTGTGGTCTTCAAACAGATTTCTACTTTTCTTGCTTGTGAGCCAGAGTTTGGAAGTGTACCTGGTCATTTGCTTGGTGTTACCATTCCACATAATGCTCTTTCTCTCTCTCTCTAGTTTCATTTTGACTGGAGAGTGTCTGCAATGTCACTTCCTGCTTTTCCCCACATTTTGGTGGCCTTCCTGGTGTCCTGTATGTTCATGATTCTTTCTAGCCCTCTCTTTTTCTTTCAGAAAACTCTGAGGTTCTGTAAAATTTGATGACTCTGCCTTGTAAAGTATTTGATGTGCTTTTATGACTTTCTGGGAAAAAGTATTTTCCTTTACCCTTTCCAATTCTCATTCTCTATTTCCACATTTGAGATGGCATCAACTGTGAAAATGGTTCACATCTTCCCTTTTGCTGTGAATTTTTCCTAAATTAGAGCATTTCATGACCTTGAAAGACTTTTTTTTCATCAAAGAGCAGAATCTTCAAAACTGTTTGCCTTTTTCTCATAGAAAATTTATCATACTTGGAAACATTCTGTTATGATTAAATTTTCAAACATAATTATGACCATTGTCAAGAAAAGATTCTGCAAACCACTCACATCCAAGAGACTTAGCATCCAATGTGTCTTTCACTGTATGCAAAGTGTTATTTTAAACATGTCATTGCTTTCCTGGGTATATTCTGATATATAGTATTTGTTTTTCAATAAACTTGGCAGCTGGCTGCAAATATGTGCCTGTTACAAACTTGCCTTCATCTGTGTGTACAGCCATTCATCCAGTCATTTAATTCCACAGATTTCTGTTAATAACTCTGGGCTTGTAGGTCAATTATAGGCAGTGAATGTGGCTTTCTTCCAAGTTATAACCACTCCCTACCCACACCCCTACCTCCAATTCATAAATGGAAGCTCCAGAGCCCTGGGAGAACAGAGGCCTGCAAGGAAAGGAAGTGTCCTGGCAGTTTTGCAGGTAGCAGCATGAGTAGGGAGGCAACCCTAGTGTATAATGGACTCCTGCTGGTGTTATTCTTTGGAAGAGCTGGCCTGAGCTAGAACTTCTGTCTCAGATTCAGAGTCACTTCACCACATCACGTCCCTGAAGCTGCAAGTGTTATTAACATTAACCTAAGTTGGGCATCTGTGCAAACTTGTTGCCAGGTGCTTGTTGTGTACCAATGATGACACACCGGCAATCTTTGACCACCCAAATGCTGGGAAAGGATTTGTTACACTCTCTGAAGCCATTTTCTTAGCGGTGCATGGCTGAAATAGTAGATTTAAATTGGTGCAGCCGTGAGGATATTACTATGAGACAGAGGAGATCTAGGGGAATGTCTACTCACTTTCAAAATTATTCTGTCTTTTCAAGAACTGGAAGAAATTTGAATTAATCAGGCTTTTCAAGAATCTCACGGAAGAGCAATAAATAATCTACCATTTGCCCATCCGTATGTTAGGTTCAGTGTTTTTATTTTCTTCTGGCTCTTTTCTTATAATGATGAACTTTATATCTGTTGCATAATTCTTTATTACAAAAGACAAAAACTTCTACCCACCCACCTCCACCTCTTTTGGTTTGGCCAAACAAGTTTCTGACACTGCTGCTGGTATTTTTTCATTTTTTAAGCTGAGAAAACAATGACTAGATCCCTATGGAAATGTGGGCATTACTAAGTCTTAGTTAGTTAGAACCTTACTCAGATACTGGAGGGTGGATTAGGGGGAGCAACTAGCAAGTGTTGTGAGAGGAGACCACATGTAAAATATTTCTAATTTAACAAGTAAGAGAGGGCCGAGCATGGTGGCTCATGCTTATAAGCCTAGAACTTTGGGAGGCTGAAGCGGGTAGATCACCTGAGGTCAGGAGTTTGAGACCAGCCTGCCCAATATGGTGAAACCCTGTCTCTAATAAAAATACAAAAATTAGTCCGGGCGCGGTGGCTCACGCCTGTAATCCCAGCACTTTGGGAGGCCGAGGCGGGCAGATCACGAGGTCAGGCGATCGAGACCATCCTGACTAACACAGTGAAACCCCGTCTCTACTAAAAACACAAAAAATTAGCTGGGCGTGCTGGCGGGTACCTGTAGTCCCAGCTGCTCGGGAGGCTGAGGCAGGAGAATGGCGTGAAACCGGGAGGCGGAGCTTGCAGTGAGCGGAGATGGCGCCACTGCACTCCAGCCTGGGCGACAGAGCAAGACTCCGTCTCAAAAAAAAAAAAAAAAAAAAAAAAAAATTAGCCAGACATGGTGGCAGGCACCTATAATCCCAGCTACTCAGGAGGTTGAGGCAGGAGAACCCAGGAAGTAGAGGTTGAGCTGAGATCATGCCACTGCACTCCAGCCTGGGCAACAGAGCAAGACTCCATCTAAAAGAAAAAAAGTAAGAAAGGATACTTTAATAAAACCTTTGCAAGAATAAAAACAACATTCCTATCCAAATATACCTTTAGAAATCTGTTAGAAATGTGTCAGTCGTGATTGAAAGAAGATATATAGTGAGTGTTTGGGAACTCCAGGGGTTCATCCTATAAAATGCTTACACAGTGAGACAGAGAAGGGCTATGAATTCTGGGGATCGAATTCCTTACAGCCTGAATGATCTAAATGTGAGGTATTATGAAGAAAAAGCTCAGTCTTTTTAATTAGATTCTGAGCTATGCTATCTTAAGCATCTGACTTCATTTTACTGAGTGTCTGTTTCCTTATTCGTAAGTAGGAATAACAATAGTATTGATAGGAATTTTAGTTAAGATAATGCTTATAAATTTAAGAAGCATAGTGCCTGGCACATAGTAAGATACATGGTAAATGCCAGAAATCCAAGAAATGAAGTCCCATGCAAAGCTGCTTAGCCCAAACAAAGGTGATGTTTACTAGCTTCTGGACAGACCTTTATGACGGTGAGATTTTTTTTTTTTTACAAATCTTGCAGAACACTTGCACTTTCACCTGCTTAGTTAATTCTTATCATATCTCTAGAAAGAAGCAATGAGAAGCTAAGACTTGGATCAGAAGATGATGATATTGCAAGAGGTTACACTTAAACATTACTCCTTTGATTCATGTGGGCCTACTACCTTGTACACAGCAAGTCATCCACACATGACTTTAAAAAGCTGTTGTTTATGTAGTGTTCCAGGTGCCCTTTGAGAGGAATCCTCTTACCAATATTCTAGAAATACACACCTCGAGTACTATGCCCTTAGTATGCCATGGCTAGCTGTCCATTTTCAATCAATCCCAGTGCTGCACCCTGGGGAATAGACTCTCACAGCAAAACTTTTCTCCTGGCACCTCTAGCATCTTAGGTCATCAGCCATCAGCACCTATTCGGAGGCCTACTTTTCTACACAAGTTTTGGCCGGAGGGGAGCAAGTGAGCATTATACTTTTTCTAATAAAATCCTTTAAAAATAAATCCATTCATGTTTGGGACACTTTTTTCTACCTGTCATTTATGGTTGCTAATGTGTAGTTGTTATTTAATTGCATGTTTATGTTAAACATTCCCCATGCCAACATGATAGCCGCAGGCTTGACTAATAAAAAGAGAGAGAAAGAAAAAAAAATAAAAAACAGAAAAAGCTTAGAGGAAAGATGCATGAGTAAATGGAAATAAAATGGGATATTTCAATAGGAGGTCTCCAAAATTGATAGTTTCTAGGAAAACGCATCACCTTGCACTGCCAGTGGTTCTTTCTTAGCTTCCAACTAATTTATACTCTAGTAAGGTACTGTCCTTTTCTTCACCCAGCCTTGCTAATTTAAAGAATCTTAACTGGGGGGAAAATGCTAATCTTATTTTGGGCCTACCCATTTTCCCAATCTCAGTTTGATGTCTTCCTCGGAATCGGAAGGCTTCCCTGGAGCTTGGTGTGCTGGGCTTGTCTGTGCTGTGGCTTTCAGTCTCAGGCCAGGTTTTACAAATTTTGTCGCATTGGTCTGGAAAAGAGGTAGGGTGGTTGACTTGTTTTTTAACTCAATGCAAATTAATTTATGCTTTGAAATTTGCTGATCTTCTCACCTCAATTGGGAAAATGTCTGACTATATTGATTGGCCAAATGAAGGACTCAAGGACTCAAGGAGGTCGAGTTCATTTTAGAGGCTTCTTAAATTGTCCTAAATTATCCCACTTTGGAAAGCGCAGTCTTGTGACAGTGGCATTAAGGTAAAGAAAAACAGCCTCTGCTCCAGCTCTGATTAGGCCCTGTCTCCTTCCAGAGTCTTTCTCTCCAATCCAAAGCCTTCGCATGTACAATTTCCCCTGGAAAAATCTCCTTCACAACCTCTTCCAAGTGACTCCCATTCATCTTTCTGATGTCAACTTCAGCATCATTCCTTCAGAGAACTTCCCCAAATTCCTAGTTTCTGCTAGCAATTATCAATCCTTGTTCTAGAGCTCTGTTCCTTTGAGAATAAATTACTCAATTGGTAAGTAAATATTCATAAATATTATGAATGAATGAGTTAGGAATGAAGTATAATAATGAATAATTCATTCCTATTTCTTCAACTACAGCGTAAGTTCCAAGGAAATAGGGACTATGTCAATTTTTGCTCATTGTTCTATCCTCAGTTGTTAACACAATACTTGGCACATAGTAAGCAATTAAAAAATCTGTTGAATAAATGATCCCAATGTTCAACATGTACATAGCCCACTGGATAATTTAGTGAAATTTGACTTGCATGCGTAATAAAGCACCAGAGAGAATCTGGTCCCCACTGGGATACCAGCAAAATTTCTGTTTTGCCATTTGGGAAACACCTTGACATCCAACAATTCAAAGTCAAAATTCCTGTTCCACGCAGGTAGCTGAGTAAATTTAAGGTCAACTAAAACTGGACTCACTAGTCATTTCATTCTTGGTTGCTCTTTTCTCCTGTTATCCTTCTTAATGGATATATCCTGCCTTCTCATGACTTCAAATTTCTGCATTCTGATCATGAGCATTCCTGTGGTTTCACGCTCCTATTTGTTCTTCTGCTAATGATCCTTATAACTGTTTTCTGCTTATTTTTATAGATTGCTTGATCTTCTTTACTAGGTTGTTTATATTTCTAAAAGCATCTGATTGATTGCACTTCTCCTTGCATCCCTGCTAAACTTAATGCTTTCTATTGCCCTTTTCATTTCTAAAGTTTAACTGAGATGAATTTCAATTTCACTTTCAGGAACGGTTTGCAAACTGTGGAGTTTTCTTTATTTCTGACCAGGCTGTTCCCCAGGGATAATTTTAATTTTTCAAATAATTAGAAATTAGTAACCTTTCTGTCAGTAAAAATAAATAAATAAATCAATGAAAAGCATTCTGGACATAAAGACCTAAAATTTCATGTCATCCTCAGTTTGTTCATTCTTTCTCTTTCTTCCTTTCCTTTCCTGTCCTGTCCTGTCCTGTCCTGTCCTGTCCTGTCCTGTCCTTCAATTGAAGGTCTGTCTATCTAAACACATTTTGAGAGCTTATCTTATTTGGGGCTCATCAGCAGGATCCATTCATTCTGTTTATCCTCAAAATCTAGATGATTTTCTCTTCTGGTCCTTTGCAGGAATAACCAGCAACAATTGGCAAGAGGGCTGGTTGTGGCAGTAGGAGGTACGCTGGCACTGAAGATGCCCAAGTTCTTCTTTTTATTTCTTTCTGGAGGAAAGCCAGTGCCATTGTTGGCAGATCCTGGGCTGAAAATAAGGAGTTGTCACCTTACCTCTGCCCTAATTAGTTGTGTAGCCTCAGTCAAATCAATTCCCCTTTATGCACTTTAATTCTGCCCATCTATACAATGATGGAGGCTAAATTAAATTAATTCAAAGACCCCACAATGCCAAAGATTCCAAGAAAATTGATGAACTTTTGATTTTTAAAAAATCAAATGAACCTCAATTTGCAACAATATTCAGTGGTTTCACTGTCAAATTGTAGTTTCTAAAGAAGAAGTCTAGGTTTAGCCCAACCTAGAGTTTGGCTGTTTTCCCACATGACTCCTGAGAATGGAATAGCCTCTGACTCTCCTCCAAACACTGTAACAGAGACAGGAGTGCCAGATATGTTAGAAGGTATAAGCATAAAACAATAAGTCAATGACACTGAAAACATATAAGGCACTAGGTAACACCAAACTGAGAACAGGAGAGAGATAAGAGAGTGCTGTAACGCTAGCACAGCCCCTGATTCTCAGGAGGAATTGTCTGTGAAAGGACAGACTGAGCTATGGAGGGACACACAGCAACCCTGCTCATGGCAGGTGGATGGCGTAGCACTCCTTTGCCAGACATGACATTCAGGGAGATGCAATAGGAGTATATGGAGGATATCTTTGTTGGGAGGAGTCACTCTCTTCAGCATTAAACATCTCATTAAGTGACTTCCTCAATTTCAGTGATGTCCAGAAGCTTTCAGAGATAATCTGAGCAGTCAGTGAACTGATGTGTCTGCCAAGGCATGAATAGCATAGATTGTTCAGTGTTTGCCCTGGGTCTATCAGCAGTAATAAATTTTAATCGGTTAGGCACTTTTTAAGCATGCTACTGTTTGCCAAACATTATTTTTGGCAGGCATCTGTAACAAAACCTAATGCATTATGCATATTATTTCTATGGTATTTCATTGTATTAGCACATGTAGTATTTGTATGGAATTTTTGTAAATTCATTACCAAAGTAGTATCACATTAATTATTCTGGTTTAAAAAGTATTAGGAAAAAAATAATCCTGGGGAGCATACATCATATCATGGGGAAGTGGGAATGATCTATTGTCATTTAAATTGTGGAAAAATATTAGCATGTATACGAGAAAAATAACTTATAAAAGTACACAGCAAGTGTGGAAAAAGTGAATTATTAAATACATTGGTGTTTCCTTAAATACTGAATGCCTAATTTCAGAATTCTAATGACAATCATTATTACAGATTTTACTGATTGGTTTTATTTAACAGTATAACTTAGTGGTAGAGACCCATAAGACTTATTTCATTTCTCTGTGTCGTATTTCTTTGGTATCTTGATCTGCTAAATCATACTTTCTCACTCTTTTTCCCCCTTCTGTTTCTGTCCATCTCTGAGGTGCAGAGGTCCTGGGCCTTTGAACTTTGTATAACTCTTTCTTCTTAAATCCCTAGTATAGGGAAACTATACCATAGTAAAATTATCTATCTTGGCTGGAAACTACTCCAATAATTCAGTTCTCCACTGAAGTGTAAGATTTAGCTCTATTAAGTGTCTCTTAGTATCACTCTTCTATTCTTATAAGATAGGGTCATGAAAATTAGTAGTAAATTATTTTCTCTACCCTACTGGAGATTATATTATTTCCAGTGGTTTCTAGAACCTTGATTTGTCTTGTTCTTCCAAATTTGACAAATAATGTCTAGGGCACTCTTCCCTTTAGAAACTATTTTACAACACAGTAGTTTATCATTGTCAGGAAATGTTATAGCTATTCTTCTTTTCACAGGTTTTGATTCAGATAACACCTCTCTCCAAGAAACTCAAAAATCTCTGCAAATATTGCTTTCCATAGCTTCACAACAGTCCTTTGATGCAGGGCAATTCTTTCTCACTGCTACTAAAAAAATGAACAACCTTTGCCCTACGCAACACTGTGCTAGGCAACAAGTGACTGAAATAAATGCTCAATTTACCTTTTAGAAATATAAACCCAAAGGCATCATATTTGAATAGTCAGGAAAATAAAATACACCTACTGTATTACATAGTATTAAAAAACTGATTATATATTATTTGAATTACATGAAATTATATTATTTAAATTAGAAGGAAAAACGTATTTTTTTAAAGCAGAGACTTAATACATTTATCAGGATAATGACAATTTATAAGGCTAATGGCTATTACACTTATAAATTCAGTTATCCATATTCCATAGAACATAAGAATCGAGTCTTTATTTCATTCCATTCAGAGCTGCACAGCTAGTGCAAACTTTTCTTCAATATTTCTACATAAATCCTCCTTCCTGACTCACGTTCCATTCTGACTATGAAAAATCAATAAGACCTTGACCTTGTTGCTTTCATGTTTCATGCACTAATTCATAACTAGAATTAAACTCCCCCCAAAAAAGTCAATCACCGTGAACGGGAGCCAGGACTAGAATGCACCTCTAGACAGAGCAGCCGGCAGCGGCTCGCATTGTGAATTTTAGCTCCAGATTGACTACAAGAGCAAACTAACAATCCCAAGAGGACACACAGACCCTCTGACGGAAGTGGACTGCTCCTGCAGGACCTGGGAGACACCGCAAATACTGTGAGCGCCCCAACTGCGGAAGCGGGAAAAGGAGACCCTCCTCTCCTGAACACACCCCCCTAACTGGAGAAGCTGAAGTTCTGTTTGCCTGAGAAATTTCTGACTTTACCTGGAGCTGAGTCAATTAGGAGAGCCAAGGGAAATACAGAGGTAGAGGAAGCAGCAGCAAGGCCCTGGGAGCCCGCTGGGTTCTGGAGCAGGCCATTCCTGCTTGGCACCACAGGGATCCAACGAGAGAGGACCAGGGGCTAAAACTACACGGGGAGAAGCAAATCTCTAGATGAACTTTGTAAAAATTTGAACGGGGTGAGAAGCCTCCTGGACAGAACTTGGGGGAGGGCACGAATTGGGGATACAGACTCCACAGGCAGGGGAAAACCAAGCCCTTTACTTTAGCAGCTGGGAGGCGGATAGCCTGGGGCAGGTTTTCAAGCCCATATTGCTCTCTGCCTGGGAAAGGTCTGGGGGCTGTTGGGGCAGACACAGTGGAAGTGAGACCAGCCCTTTGGTTTGCGTCCAGAGCTGGGTGAGGCCTATGACTGCCAGCTTTCCCCCACTTCCCTGACAACCTGCATGACTCAGCAAAAGCAGCTGCATAATCCTCCTAGGTATACAACTCCAGTATACAACTCCCATCTCCCACAGCAGCAAGACCCACCCCAGAGAGTCTGAACTCAGACACGCCTAGACTCACCCCCACCTGATGATCCTTCCCTATCCACCCTGATAGCGGAAGACAAAGGGCATATAATCTTGGGAGTTCTAGGGCCCCGCCCAACCACTGGTCCCTCTCCATGCTACTTACAGCTGATTCTTTCTGGAAAGCGCCACCTCCTGGCAGGAGGCCAACCAACACAAAAATAGAGCATTAAACCACCAAAGCTAAGAACTCTCACTGAGTCCTGCACCCCCGCCACCTCCACCGGAACAGGCACTGGTTCCATGGCTGAGAGACCCATAGACGGTTCACATCACAGGACTCTGTGCAGACAACCCCCAGTACCAGCCTGGAGCCAGGTAGATTTGTTGGGTGGCTAGACCCAGAAGAGAGAGAGCAATCACTACATTTTGGCTCACAGGAAGCCACATCCATAGGAAAAGGGGGAAAGTAATACATCAAAGGAACACCCCATGGGACAAAAGAATCTGAACAACAGACTTCAGCCCTAGACCTTCCCTCTGACAGAGCATACCCAAATCAAAAGGAACCAGAAACCCAACCCTGGTAATATGACAAAACAAGGCTCTTCTACACCACCAAAAAATCACACTAGTTCACCAGCAATGGATCCAAACCAAGAAGAAATTCCTGATTGACAGAGAATTCAAGAGGTTAGTTATTAAGCTAATCAGGGAGGGACTAGAGAAAGACAAAGCCAAATGCAAGGAAATCCAAAATATGATACCAGAAGTGAAGGGAGAAATATTCAAGGAAATAGATAGCCTAAAGAAAAAAAAATAAAGAATTTAGGAAACTTTGGAGGCGCTTTTGGAAATGTGAAATGCTCTGGAAAGTCTCAGCAATAGAATTGTACAAGTAGAACAAAGAAATTCAGAGCTCAAAGACACGATCTTCGAATTAGCCCAATCCAACAAAGGCAAAGAAAAAAGAGTAAGAAAATATGAACAAAGCCTCCAAGACGTCTGGGATTACGTGAAACAACCCAAACTAAGAATAATCTGTGTTCCTGAGGAAGAAGAGAATTCTAAAAGCTTGGAAAACATATTTGGGGGAATAATAGAGGAAAACTTCCCCAGCCTTGCTAGAAACCTAGACATTTAAATACAAGAAGCACAAAGAACACCCGAGAAATTCATAGCAAAAAGATCTTTGCCTAGGCACATTGTCATTGGGTTATCCAAAGTTAAGATGAAGGAAAGAATCTTAAGAGCTGTGAGACAGAAGCACCAGGTAACCTATAAAGGAAAACCTATCATATTAACAGCAGATTTCTCAGCAGAAACCCTACAAGCTGGAAGGGATTGGGGCCCTATCTTCAGCCTCCTCAAACAAAACAATTATCAGGCAAACATTTTGTATACAATGAAACTAAGCATCATATATGAAGGAAAGATACAGTCTTTTTCAGACAAACAAATGCTGGGAGAATTTGCCATTACCAAGCCACCACTACAAGAACTGCTAAAAGGAGCTCTAAATCTTGAAACAAATCCTGGAAACACATCCAAACAGAACCTCTTTAAAGCATAAATCACACAGGACCTATAAAACAAAAATACCAGTTAAAAAGCAAAAACAAAAAACAAAAAAAAACAAAGCACACAGGCAACAAAGAGCATGATGAATGCAATGGTACCTCACATTTCAATAGTAACATTGAATGTAAATGGCTTAAATGCTCCACTTAAAAGATACAGAACCACAGAATGGATAAGAACTCACAAACTAACCATTTGCTGCCTTCAGGAAACTCACCTAGCACATAAGGACTCACATAAACTTAAAGGGATGGAAAAGGCATTTTGTGCAAATGAACACCAAAAGCGAGCTATTTTTATATCAGACAAAACAAACTTTAAAGCAACAGCAGTTAAAAGAGACAACGAGGGACATTATATAATGGTAAAAGGCCTTGTCCAACAGGAAAATTTCACAATTCTAAACATATATGCACCTAACACACTGGAGCTCCCACATTTATAAAACAATTACTAATTGTTTTAGTAATGAGATAGACAGAAATGAGATAGAAATGAGATAGACAGCAACACAGTAATAGTCAGGGACTTCAATACTCCACCAACTGCACTAGACAGGTCATCAAGACAAAAAGTGAACAAAGAAACAATGGATTTAAACTATACCTTGGAACAAATGAACTTAACAGATGTATACAGAACATTCATCCAAGAACCACAGAATACACGTTCTATTTAACAATGCATGGAACTTTCTCCAAGATAGACCATATGACAGGCCATTCTCTCTCAGACCACAGTGGAATAAAACTGAAAATCAACTCCAAAAGGAACCTTCAAAACCATGCATATACATGGAAATTAAATAATCTGCTCCTGAATGAGCATTGGGTCAAAAACAAAATCAAGATGGAAATTTAAAAATTCTTTGAACTGAATGACAGTAATGACACAACCTACCAAAATCTCTGTGATACAGCAAAGGCGATGCTAAGAGGAAATTCCATAGCCCTAAATACCTACATCAGAAAGACTGAAAGAGCACAAACAGACAATCTAAGGTCACACCTCAAGGAGCTAGAAGAACAAGAACAAATCCAACCCAAATCAAGCAGAAGAGAGGAAATAACCAAGATCAGAGCAGATTTAAATGAAATTGAAACAAACAAACAAACAAAAAATAAATGAAACAAAAAGCTGGTTCCTTGAAAAGTAAGTAAAACTGATAGACCGTTGGCAAGACTAACCAAGAAAAAAAGAGACAAAATCCAAATAACCTCACTGAGAAATAAAACAGGAGATATTACAACTGACAGCACTGAAATACAAGAGATCATTCAAGGCTACTATGAACACCTTTATGCACATAAACTAGAAAACCTAAAAGAGATGGATAAATTCCTGGAAAAATATAACCCTCCTAGCTTAAACCAGGAAGAATTAGATACCCTGAACAGAGCAATAACAAGCAGTGAGACTGAACAGACCAATAACAACAGCAAGACTGAACAGATCAATAACGAGCAGCAAGACTGAAATTATAATTTAAAAATTACCATGAAAAAAAAGTTCAGGACCAGATGGATTCACACCAGAATCCTACGAGACGTTCAAAGAAGAATTGGTACCTATTCTTGTGACACTATTCCACAAGATAGAGAAAGAAGAAACCCTCCCTAATTCATTCTATGAAGCCAGCATCACCCTAATACCAAAACCAGGAAAGGGCGTAACCAAAAAAGAAAACTACAGACTGATATCCTTGATGCACATAGATGCTAAAATCCTTGACAAAATACTTGCTAACTGAATCCAACAACATATCAAGAAGATATTCCACCATGATAAAGTGGGTTTCATACCAGGGATGCAGGGATGGTTTAACATACACAAGTCCATGTGATACACCTCATAAACAGAATTAAAAACAAAAATCACATGATCATTTCAATAGATGCAGAAAAAGCATTTGACAAAATCCAGCATTGCCTTATGATTAAACTCTCAGCAAAATTGGCATACAAGGGACATATCTTAATGTAATAAAAGCCATCAATGACAAACTCCCAGCCAACATAATACTGAATTGGGAAAAGTTGAAAGCATTCCCTCTGAGAACTGGAACAAGACAAGGATACCCACTCTCATGACCCCTCTTCAACATAGTATTGGAATTCCTAGCCAGAACAATCAGACAAGAGAAAGAAATGAAGGGCATCCAAATTGGTAAAGAGGAAGTTGAACTGTCACTGTTTGCTGATGATACGATTGTTTAAATTGAAAACCCTAAGACCTCCTCCAGAAAGCTCTTAGAACTGATAAAAGAATTCAGCAAAGTTTCCAGATGTAAGATTAATGTACACAAATTAGTAGCTCTTCTATATACCAACAGCAACCAAGTGGAGAATCAAATCAAGAACTCAACCCTTTTTACAATAGCTGCAAAAAAAAGAAAAAAAAAACTTAGGAATATACCTAACCAAGGAGTTGAAAGACCTCTACAAGGAAAACTACAAAATACTGCTGAAATAAATCATAGATCACACAAACAAATGGAAACACATCAAATGTTCATGGATGGGTAGAATCAATATTATGAAAAATGACCATACTGCCAAAAGGAATCTACAAATTCAATATAATCCCCATCAAAATACCACCATCATTCTTCATAGAATTAGAAAAAACAATTCTAAAATTCATATGGAACCAAAAAAGAGCCCACATAGCCAAAGCAACACTAAACAAAAAGAACAAAACTGGAGACATCACACTACCTGATTTCAAACTATACAATAAGGCCATAGTCACCAAAACAGCATGGTACTGGCATAAAAATAGGCACATAGACCAATGGAACAGAATAGAAAAGCCAGAAATTGAACCAAATACTTACAGCCAACTGATCTTTGACAAAGCAAACAAAAACATGAAGTGGGGAAGGGACGCCCTTTTCAACAAATGGTGCTGGGATAATTGGCTAGCCACATGTAGGAGAATAAAACTGGATCCTCATCTCTCACCTTACATAAAAATCAACTCAAGATGGATTAAGAACTTAAACCTAAGACCTGAAACTAAAAATTCTATAAGACAACATTGGAAAACCCCTTCTAGACATTAGCTTAGGCAAGGATTTCATAACCAAGAACCCAAAAGCAATTCAATAAAAACAAAGATAAATAGCTGGGACCTAATTAAACTAAAGAGTTTTTGCACGGCAAAAGGAACAATCAGCAGAGTAAACAGACAATCCACAGAGTGGGAGAAAATCTTCACTATCTATACATCTGACAAAGGACTAACATCCAGAATCTACAATGAACTCAAACAAATCTGTAAGAAAAAAACAAACAATCTCATCAAAAAGTGGGTTAAAGACATGAATAGATAATTCTCAAAAGAAGATATATAAATGGCTAACAAACATATGAAAAAAAGGCTCACTGTCACTAATGATCAGGGAAATGCAAATCAAAACCACAATGCAATACCACCTTATTCCTGCAAGAATGGCCATAATCAAAAAATAAAAAAAACAGTAGATGGTGGTGTGGATGTGGTGAACGGGAATACTTCTACACTGCTGGTGGGAATGTAAACTAGCACAGCCGCCATGGAAAACAGTGTGGAGGTTCCTTAAAGAACTAAAAGTAGAACTACCATTTGATCCAGCAATCCCACTACTGGGTATCTACCTAGAGGAAAAGAAGTCATGATTCGAAAAAGATACTTAAACATGCATGTTTATAGCAGCATACTTCACAATTGCAAAATCATGGAACCAACCCAAATGCCCATCCATCAACAAGTGGATAAAGAAACTGTGGTGTGTGTGTGTATATATATATATATATATATATATATATATACTGTGGTGTGTGTGTGTATATATATATATATATACACACACACACACACACTCACACACACATACACACATATACGATGGAATACTATGCAGCCATAAAAAGGAATGAATTAACAGCGTTTGCGGTGACCTGGATGAGATTGGAGACTATTATTTTAAGTGAAGTAACTCAGAAATGGAAAACCAAACATCATACGTTCTCACTCATATGTGCGAGCTAGGCTGTGAGGATGCAAAGGCATAAGAATGATGCAATGGGCTTTGGGGAATTCGGGGGAAGAGTGGGAGGGGGGCAAGGGATAGAAGACTAAAAATATGGTGCAGTGTATACTGCTCGGGTGATGGGTGTACCAAAATCTCACAAATCACCAGTAAAGAACTTACTCATGTAACCAAACACCACCTGTTCCCCAATAACCTATGGAAATAAAAATGTTGTTTTTAAAAATTAAACTTGCTCTGGGCAAAGACAATTGCTGTCTTAAGATTTTTTCCCCAAAACTAAAAACAATATGCTGTGTACAAATATGGCACTCAGGAAATATTTTTTGCTCATGATGTTCTTAATATTTTTTTTTACTTGAAAATGAAAAAAAAATCTTCAATTTTAATTTAATTTTTTTATTTTTATTTTTAGAGATAAAGTCTCACTCTGTTGCTCAGGCTGGAGTGCAATGGCACAATCATAGCTCACTGCAACCTTAATCTCCTGGGTTGAGGCAATCATCCCACCTCAGCCTCCCACCTAGTTGCGACTATGGGTTTGGGCCATCACACCCAGCTAGTTTTTCAATATTTTGTAGAGATGAGGTCTTGCTATGTTACCCAGTCTGGTCTTGAACTCCTGGTCTCAAGCCTTGGTCTCCCAAAGTGCTGGGATTACAGGCATGAGACGTTGCACCTAGCCCTAATAAGATTTTTGAGGAAGAGCTTTCCTTAAACTATTTTCCTTTGAGGAAAGTTAGATTGTTCAGTCAGAAATTGAAAATGGCCACCTATCCAAACCTCTCAAATTAGTGTGTTTTATAAATATCTGAAGGAAACTTTAATGCCAAGAGAAAAGAAGAATGTTCTATAGTTAAAAAGCTTCAAAAAAGGGAGAAAAATCAATGTCTCCAGACCATTTGACATAGTCTCAGTGTTTGGTTGTAATTTAAGAAAGATTGAATGCTTAAGTTCAGAAGGTTCAGACAAGAAGATTTTCTACCTGCCACATTTTCAAGCTGTTGACCTAGTTTCCACAGGTGTACTGGGATGCTTCATCACTGACCATCAGAAGGAAATTTTCATGGTTAAGTCAGAAAATACCATGCTTACATTCTCCCTGGTTCTTTGAGAAAAGATGGGTTGAAGAAATTAGGGAATATTTGGGAAATATGAAGTTGATGGTAATTGGCCATCCTTCGCAATGCTCATTAAAACCAGCCCACATGATTTTTGCTCTTCTAAAATTTTTCCTTTCCTCCTGAAACTATATTTTCTAAAATCCTACTCATCAGCTAATTATGGTCCCAAGCTCCCAATCCCCCTACAGAAAGAATGTCCACTGCTTAGGAACTGATTGGTTATTTGGAGATAGAAGAAAATAGGATTGAAAGGACCAGTCTGTGCCATGGCCCACATTCCACACTATTTTCTCCTTGTGAAGTTGAAACTGGATCTAACCATTTGGAAATTATTTACCTACCCTCTCTCCCATCAAGAGGGAGGCAGAAAAACAAATGGGGTCATGAGTGCCAAGAACTTGTAGGCAAAGAGGAGAAGAAGAAGCCCTCCTTGCCAGGATAAAATGACCAACATTTCCATCTTGTTTGTCCTGACAAGTATAGAGTACCTTACAACTTTTGGCCCTTGCTGTGCCAAAACAGAGAAAATAATGCAGAAGAAATTAATAGTCAAGAACAGTATTTTGGTTTTTTTTTTCTTCCTCTTCAAAAGTCTATGCTTTTTTGATCATATCAGAGGAAAGGAGTGAAGATGGAAGGAGTCCATATGAAATCCATATAAGGAATTAAGTCATAATGACATAGTGTATTGTGTGTTTCCCAGGAAGCCATTTGCTCAAGGATTTATTAGGATTTACTGTGTCTGTTTGGGCTGTGGTATGGGGAAAATGTGTTATACAGCCAAAACAGATGAGCATCACCAGACCCCCTTGGGCTGCATCAATATCAATTCCTGGAACTTGAATGTACAGTTAGAGGCAGTGAACTAGTTAAGTGGTCAAGCCCATTAAAAGTTAGTGTGTAGAGGCTGGGTGTGATGGCTCACGCCTGTAATCCCAGCATTCTGGGAGGCCAAGGCGGGTGGATCATGAGGTCAGGAGATCGAGACCATCCTGGCTAACACGGTGAAACCCCGTCTCTACTAAAAAATACAAAACATTAGCTGGGCCTGGTGGCAGGAGCCTGTAGTCCCAGCTACTAGGGAGGCTGAGGCAGGAGAATGGCATGAACCTGGGAGGCGGAGCTTGCGGTGAACCGAGATTGCGCCACCGTACTCCAGCCTGGGCGACAGAGTCAGACTCCGTCTCAAAAAAAAAAAAAAAAAATTAGTGTGTAGAGTCAGATGTGGTGGCTCCAGCCTATAATTCCAGTTAGTTGGGAGACTGAGGTGGGAGGATCACTTGAGCCCAAGAGTTTGAGGCTGCAGTGAGCTATCATTGTACCACTGTGTGACAGAGTGAGATCCCATTTAAGAAAGAAAGAGAGAAAGAGAGAAGGAAGAAAGGAAAGAAGGAAAGAAGGAAAGAAGGAAGGAAGGAAGGGAGGGAGGGAGGGAGGGAGGGAGGGAAGGAGGGAGGGAAGGAAGGAGAAAAAATAGAAAAACAATTTGCTTGAGGAAGTTGCTTGATAGACTACTCTAAAAAGTATATTCATTAGCATTGACCCCATATATAGCAGATTTGAGTAGGAGGCAGCTTTTTCTTTGAATACTGGTTTATCTCTTCTATTTAGGGAAGAAAAGGGGGAAGTGTGTTTTTGTTGCTGTTGTTTGTTCATTTGTTTTTGTAAGAAGCGGATTTCCCCATTGATTTTGCATTTACATTGAGTTTTCTTGAGACATTGTATTTGAGTTTTGCTTTCCATTGTATGTAGATGAGATCTGCCTTGATCAGCTTTTGAGTAAGATTCAAGTGGGCACTGGTGTGATGAAAAACAGAGTATTATAACCTTGAGTAGTTCATCGCAGCTAGTAAGACTGGAAAATGCAAATGGCTTAGATTACACCGAGAAAATTCACAATAGCTCTCAGCCTTAAAGAGAAATGGAAGGTTCTAAGGCAGTTAAATTTTATACTTTCATTGACATAAACCACCTAACTAGCTGTTCTGCTTTCATGCCAAATTTTGGCTCTCTAATATTTGTATTATGTAGAAGGGTACTGTAAAATCTTTTAGTTATCTCTCAAAAATGGCATGAGATAACTGGATATTATTACTAGATCTGAAAATTTTAAAAAACAGCAAAGATACAAACAAAAGAAATAGAAAGTCTTGGAGTAAAAGCTTGTCCTCAAGAGATAACATTTTTACCTGGCATCATTTCAAAGGAAGTGAAAGGAATATCCCAGGTGCATTGTGGACATCATAAAGAATAAAAACAAAAGCTCGTTGGTGTGAATTTAAAAATAAAAAAAAATTATTGACTTCTATCTTAAGTATACATCTACCATGCAGCCCGTTCAGATGTAGCAGAGAGTTTGGTGAGTTCTAGACATGGAATGAGCTCTAACAAGGAAAACTTACCTAAATTTATTAATCTTAGCTGAAATAGCAACACTTTTAAAATATGAAAGACTTGGCTGTATCAGACTTTTCTGTATCTTAATTAGTTTAAGAGCTTCAGCTTTCACAGGGGTGTTATTCTCAAAGCATTTGCATTTGGAGGTTAGGTGCTTACAATTTTGGAATTACTTTCAGATTTTTGCAAGCTACAAAGGAAAAAAGGAAAGCATTACTTTAGAGCCATGATTTTGCTTTAGTTTGCATGATGACATACTGGAGAGGAGGAAGGGGTTAGATTCAGACAGCTGTTGGGTTGATCTGCCAGGGACTAACTTGTCTGGCCTTTGGTGAGTTGCTGATCTCTCTGAGTCTCAGTTTCCTGACTGGGCACGGAGTAACCCTGCATGCATTGTTTTATCCCAAGACTGCAATAATAAATGCGCTTTCTAATCATCCTGAAGTCCCCTTTGAAGTTTTCAAGAAATTATAAGCTTAATTTCTACATTTTACATGTATGCATTTTGTAAAAACATGCTTACAAGAGAACATGCTTCTCTACTCCCAACACAATGTGTGGTGTTTTTTTCCCCACACCAAGTAATTCTCCAATTCTCTGTGGACACCAGTTGGGCATCCCACAATTCAATTCAATTCTGACACTAATACCTGGATTTAGCACAGATCCCACAGGGTAAGGGTTTGGTCCCACAAGACTGCCTGTTACTTCAGATGCTAAGTCCAGGCCCCCTGTACTTCTGATCACCCAGCTATCGATTGGGGGTTCCCACAACCCCTATCCTAGGTTCAATAATTTGCCAGCACTGCTCACAAAACTTAGGGAAAGATTTACTTATGTTTGCTGGTGTATGATAAAGAACATTATAAAAGATAAAGATGAATATTCAGATAAAGAGGTACATAGGACAGGGTCTGGAAGGATCCCAAGCACAGGAACTTCTGTTTCTGTGGAGAAGGGGTGCACCAGCCTCCAGTACATGGAGACATTCACTAACCAGGATGCTCATCAAACCTAGTTATTCAAAAGTAACTAAAGAGCTTAATCTCGAGCTCCCTCTCTTTTCCTGGAATCACTGGGTGGAGCTGAAAGTTCTAACCTTGTAATCACTTGGTCTTTTTGACGACCATCCTAAGTCTATTTAGGAGGCCCACTCCAAGACACTTCGATAGCATGAAATCAGGTGTGATGGAAAGGGGCTTATAATGAATAACAAAAGACAGTCCTTTCACTCAGGAAATTCCATGGGTTTTATGAGTTCTGTGCCAAGAACCAGGGACAAAGCCCAAATACATGTTCTTTAACACCACAGTGTTATTCTACATGTAGTCAATAGTAGAAACTCTCAGTATTGACCTTCTCATCTGAACATGCCAGACAGTAAAGGGGTTGTCATCCACGGTAAGGCCAGACACTGTTTTCTTCTTTACATTTCTGTCTCTTGGGAATGTTGACTTTGGTCCTCACTCCTTTAGGCTTATAGCTCTCAGCTGCACCTTTCCAGCCCTTTGCACTGGACTAACACTTCTGTGTATTGGGTTTTCCTTCCTCCTACCCAACTTGAAGCCTGATTACTTCTATTCAAAAACTACAGTATGGAGGACAGGTAGTCCTGTCTTGCCATCTGGTGATAATGGAGGCTCACTGGTGTTACTGATCTGACCTACTGCAGCAAGTTCAGGTTTTGCAGGCAGGCTCAATGGAGGAGAGGTAGACTGCACTGAAATCCTTTGAGTAAGTCTGGAATCCCATGCTAGGTGGGCCCCTTCCACTCCCATTCCATCATCAACACTTGCAACAGCCACTTGGAAACACCGTAGGTCTGGTTCAATTCGCTTAGTACTAAACTTTCTTCTGACCCATACAAAAATGCTAAAAATATAAACATCAATTAAAGACTCTCCTGTTTTTCAGGTGTTGTCAGTTCAGGGGGAAAGGTACTTCTTGATGATAAGACTTTGTAATGTTTTCTAAAGTAGTTTTAGTCACTAACTTATTCAGTGAAGACTGATCAAACTACTGCTACGTTCAAGGGATCTTGCTATGTATTAGCAGGGAATCTGGGGAGTAGAGTGTGTGCTGGGAAAAGGGGGAACACGGCAAACATGGCTTGTAAGAGCTAATAAATACAAGAAAAACTGGAATAAATGTTAGAAATCTGATAAAGAGAGAATTGATTTTGATGCAAAAGATTCTAAAAAAATGTTTATGGATGTGCTGGCCCTTAGGGCTGAATCTTGAATTATGAGTAGGAACGAGATGTTCAAAGGGAAGAGAAAAGCATTCCAGCTTAAGTGAAATATGTGAGAAGTTTAAAAGCAAGAACATCTGGGGTGTTACTTAGATATTGAGGAAGCTAGTGGTGTACTGGAACCAGCTCCTATCAGTTCACAAGACTTAACAGTGCACCTCTCTTCTGGCTTGGCATTCAGTGACAGCACTTTGGTAGCTTGAAAACAGACTTGGTGGAGTATTTACACCACAGAAATTGCCAAATACTGCAAATCAGGGCTTCCCCTCAACGTGAGAACCAGTTGTTAAACACAAGCACAGGCTTGGCTAGAGTGCCCTTTTCCTCAAAGAATCTCTTAGATAAGACTGTTCTTTCTGCCATTTATGAAATGGGCACACTTTGGTTTGGTTAGTATAGATGATTTGCAAAGTATCGCGTAACTATGTGTGGAAGCAGACCGAAAGCACATGTAAATATCATTCTGTAGGACTTCAATGCCAAAGAGCTTTGTGATTCTGTGTATGTAGCACAATTACAGGAGCCAGAGAAAAAGGACATCAGTCCTAAGACTGTTAGTGGCTGTGCCAAAATCTTTTCATCACAAGCGTCTTTTCACACACATGCACTTGAGACTAGATTGTGTGCCCAATCCGAGGTCTATTATTACTTTTACTAGAGTTGAGGGAAAGGGGATGAGAAATAAGAAAAAATAAACTTGAAAATTACAGCCTTAAGGGCAAAAATAAGGAAATTTTAAGAGAAAAAAATGTGTGAAGATTAACTTCAAGACCACAATAAAAGAAACACCTTGGGCTCTGAGGGCCCTTTATCATGCAATTTTGCCAGCGTTTCTAGGTTCAATATTCTGAAAAGGGTGGACGTTTCAGTGGTTGCTCTGGAAGCATTATTTTCTGATTCTGTATCTTTGCTAAGGGTTTCATATGCAATCCCCCTTCCCCCATGCAGAAAAATGCACATTTCTATTTCTACAACAAATATCCATGTACTTCTAGTGCATTAGAAATCTCCTTAAAATACGCAGAAGAACTGTAACTAAAGATTAACTTTATGGCCGGGCGCGGTGGCTCACGCCTGTAATCCCAGCATTTTGGGAGGCTGAGGCGGGTGGATCATGAGGTCAGGAGATCGAGACCATACTGGCTAACACGGTAAAACCCCGTCTCTACTAAAAATACAAAAAATTAGCCAGGCGTGGTGGCAGGCACCTGCAGTTTCAGCTACTTGGGAGGCTGAGGCAGGAGAATGGCGTGAACCCGGGAGGCGGAGCTTGCAGTGAGCCGAGATTGTGCCACTGCACTCCAGCTTGGGTGACAGAGTGAGATTCCGTATCAAAAAAAAAAAAAAAAAGATTAACTTTATTCCAGGTACTAGATTAATGAGATTATATCTTTTTTTTTATATGTGTAAATTTAAGGGGTATAAATGCAGTTTTGTTACATGGCTATCTTGTATAGTGGTGGCTTTTAGTGTATCCATCACCCAAATAATGTACATTGTACCCATTAGGTAATTTCTTATACCCACCCCCTCTCACCCTCCTGAGTCTCTGATGTCTATTATTACTCACATTATCCATGTGTACACATTATTTAGCTTCCACCTCTAAATGAGAAAATGTAGTATTGACTTTCTGAGTTGTTTCAATTACAATAATGTCCTCCAATTCTATCCATGTTGCCACAAAAAGACATGATTTCATTTTTTTATGACCAAATTGTATTCCAGTGAGTGACTTGAGGAAGAAAATGTGGTACACATATATTAATTTATGCAGTCATTCACTGATGGGCACTTAGGTTTATTCCATGTCTTTGCTACTGTGAAGAGTACTGCTTTAAACATATGAGTGCAGGGATCTTCTTTATATAATTCTTTCTTTTCCTTTAGGTAGACACCCAGCAGTGGGATTTCTGAATCAGATGATAGTTCTATTTTTTTTTTTTTTTTTTTTTTGAGATGGAGTATCGCTCTTGTTGCCCAGGCTGGAGTGCAATGGCACGATCTCGGCTCACCGCAACCTCTGCCTCCTGGGTTCAAGCAATTCTCCTGCCTCAGTCTCCGAAGTAGCTAGAATTACAGGAATGTACCACCACGCCTCGCTAATTTTTGTGTTTTGAGTAGAGATGGGGTTTCTCCATGTTGGTCAGGCAGGTCTCGAACTCCCGACCTCAGGTGATCTGCCTGCCTCAGCCTCCTACGGTACTGGGATTACAGGTGTGAGCCACCACACCCGGCCTCTATTTTTATTTCTTTAAGAATTTCTGTATACATAGAGTATGGAATAGGCACTGGAGACTCAGAAAGATGAGAGGATGAGATGAGAGTAAGGTATGAGAAATTACTTAATGGGTACAATGTACATTATTTGGGTGATGGTTACACTAAAAGCCCAGACTTTCCATATATGGAAAACAGTATGGAGATTCCATTTCCACCAACAGTGTATTAGCATGCCGTTTTTTCTGCATCCTTGCCAACCTCTGTTTTTTTTGTCTGTTTGTTTGTTTTGGTTTTGTTTGTTTGTTTGTTTGTTTTGTCTTTTTAGTAATAGCCATTCTGAGTGGTATAAGATGATATCTCATTGAAGGTTGATAAATAAACAGGTTGTCTGGTATATAGTTTTTATTTATTCAACAAAAATATATTTGAGAGCCTAGTGTGTGGCAGATGTTGATTTAAAAACTGAAAATACAATAGCAAACAGAGTTTTTCATGTAGCTGACATTCCTAGCAGAGACAAACAATAAACACATGTGACAGTGCCAGGGAGAAAGTACCATTGAACAGCAAAGTGACAAAATACTTGTTGTCTGTTTCATGTTTATGAAATAGAAGATATCTCTTATTCATTCAAACAAGAAATCTACTTTTTTATTTTGACTTTAAAAATACAAGAAGTACAAAGAACAATGTAACAGATACCAAAAGTCTTCCTACCCTAAATTATTAAAAGCATATTGCTTTCATTCTTTTTTTATGAAAAGAAAAAGCTAAAATCCCCATGGAAGATCATCACCTCCTACCTTTCCCTCCCTGACTTCAGGCAACCACTGTCAATAATTTTCTATACTTTTACATGTATGTATTTATTAGAAAGCTGTGCATTTTTAAAAATTTGTATTTATATATTTATTTTTTGAGAGTAGGTGTCGCTCTGTTGGCCAAGCTGGAGTGCAGTGGTACAAACATGGCTCACTGCAGCCTTGAGCTCTTGGGCTTAAGTGATGCTCCTCCCTCAGTCTCCTGAGTAGACCACAGACCTCAGTCTTCTGGTGCCACAGATGTGGGCCACCACACTTGGATTTCTAAAAAACAATTTTTGTAGAGATAGGGTCTCACCATGTTGCCCAGGCTAGTCTCAAACCCCTGGGCTCAAGCGATCCTCCTGCCTTGTCCTCCCAAAGTGCTGGAATTATAGATCTGAGCCACCACACTTAGCCTATGCATTTTTAAAATCTTTTTTTTTTTTTTTGCAGATGAGTAAATATTGCATTATTTTATTCTACTTCTTAAATGTATGTGTTTGAAGTCTACTCCTTTTTATCTATTGTGTAATATTGCATCATATTATATAGTATGTTATTAATCTACATCCTAAATAATAAAGCAAGTTTAAACAAAGTGAGTATATTTTTAAAATATTTAAGATGAATATATTCATTTCAACAGCATTCCACAAGTGCTTATGGGAATATCTTGTCACAGCCCCAGCCCTTAGGTGGCATGAACTACAGAGAGGAGTTAGCCTCAGTAATGGACTTTAAGGAGCAATATATATAAACACCAGCTACCATGTTACACAGGGCAGAAGGACTGATAAGAGGGGAAGAAATTAACTGGTTTAGAATTTGCAGAACATAAGTGGGAGGATATGTAAAGCCTTTCAAAGAAAGGAGTATAAAAAACAGTGCAGTAGGAAATTGGAAGAGAAAGCCACAGTATCAGCAAACCAGGTTGGAAAGTGCAACGCAACTTGAGGAAAGAGAAAGTTCCCATTGACTCAAGGAAAGAGACTTAGGCTACTTACAATTTGAAACTGCAGATGAGACAAGAACTAGGCGGTCTTGACACACCAGGCTTAGGCTTCTACCTAATCCATCAGTCAATGGAGAGTTTTTATCCCTGTAGTAATATGCTCGTTGCCCAAGGAAGAAAAGCCATCAAAGTAAGGGAGGAGGGAGCTGACAGCATCCACACTGAGGCACAGTGGAACATGCCCATGGGCACTTGGAGACTAGGTTGCTGTGTGCTGAGTGAGAACAGATTTCTGACCTCGTCAAAGATATACCTCTCGTCTCCCTCCAAGTGCAAAGAACAAAAATTTCAGCCACTCCCTGATCCTTTTCTTGCAAGAACCCAGCAAGAGTATTTTATTTCTATGGATTTTTTTTCAATACAGTCATTGGAATTCCTTCAATAACTTCAAGGAATCAAACGAGTCATGCTCTTTTTAAGACAAGGTCACAGAAAGTTGAGCATGACTCTAATAACATGGGACAGTAGAACAAAGAGGTTTCCGTGGCTCTGCCTGGATTTCACACGGGCCCATTGGAATGTTCAGTCTCAGTGTGCTTTGGCCTCCTGGCTATGGCTATCTTGTTCCTCTTTTATGTGCTCCCATTAGTGAGCGACAGGGAATCAGAGTACATTACAACAGGACTGCAATAAAGTGTGTGTGTGTGTGTGTGTGTGTGTGTGGGTGGAGGAGGAGTGGTTTGATTAGAGGATGGAGTAAATATTTGTGGTGGGAAAATCCTCATCAGTTTCTTTCTTGCCTTCATCAGGGGACTGGTTATGGGGACATAGGCAGAGGAGCTTTCGTGGGTCTGGAATACACAAGTATCCAGAGCTTTCCCCCACCAGGAGCTTGCTTAGGTTCTGAGGACACAGAGAATAACAAAACAGGAAAAGAATGATGCAGGGGAAAGGGTATATCAATTACTGTATTTCCTTACTTCTAAAG
The DNA here is from genome assembly GCF_000001405.40 of Homo sapiens. NCBI lineage: Eukaryota > Metazoa > Chordata > Mammalia > Primates > Hominidae > Homo > Homo sapiens. The sequence goes on from NC_000018.10 coordinate 52,653,006, forward strand.
CACACTTTTTTCCCCATATTTTACTGTCTTTGAACATGGTAGTCACTGTTGGGCTGACAGAAGTTGTGACATAATTATCATTGCCTGCACAAAAGCACAAAACCTTGCTGATGGATTTCAGAGATTAGGAAGAAAATCCCAGATACAATAGGAAGTATTCTTTTAAAGGCATATTGTATCACAGACATTTTTGATGGCATGAAAGGTAAAATTATATGGGAAAACCACAGATATTTGTAACTCTGACTCAAAAAGTGACTAAAAGGAGTAAGAGTCTGAGTTTTAAAGATTAGAAATAATTCACTCATATTTTTGCTTATATTATCCTTTTTATGTATGACCAGGTGATATGTGATAGGAGATTTATGTTTTAAAAAGTCTAAGAGGCTTCTTTCCATAGCATAAACTAAAAATTCTATGTGGCAAGAAATAATTGCACCATGTTTGAATTATTGATCTTAGTAATCCATCTTAAATCAATGCTTTAAATATAATTACATCGATGAATAATTGCTACACAATCTGATAAATGCTATAATTGAGGTATGCACAAAGGACTGTGGAAGTGTTGAGCTTCTGAGAGTTCAAACTTTGCCAGAGGAGAGGACATAAAATCTAAGGAGTTTTAGCATGAGTAGGAGTTTTCTAGGTAGGAAAGAACATTCCAAACAAAGGTTGAAATTTTGACTTTCTGATCATTTAGTTTTTAACTTCTTTCCCCTCCGCCAGTTGTTCCAGGTCCTTCACCTCAACTCTTATTAGACAAAGGGTGCTGATTATTAATTTATGCCTCTCAGCCTAACACTAAAGATTCTAAGTAGCTTTGCTTCACTTTTGTTGCCCAGTGGACCATATGCAGTAGTGAGTTTTAATCTTCTTGCATCTTAATTCATCTCCTTTAAGGTTTAGAGCTCCAAGCCTTTGTATTTATTCTTTCTTGGTGATCAAATCTAAACTGCATTTTTAAAGAGATGCATTTATGTTACCATTTTTCCTAGCTTATTTATACAGGACTCCTCCTGCTAGATGAATTATTCCTTCATTTTATCAAAAGCTAAGGGAACACCCTTATTTGGAAACCTTAAAAGTAGTACCAGGTTGCACCATTAAGGTACCAAATTCCTCACATATTGCCAATAGAAAAGCACTTATTAATTCTTGCTAATGAAGCCCTTGATAGGTATTGTGGCCTGGAGAAACATACAGTTTGGTTATGGAGAAAATATCTAATTGCAAGAGCAGTAATGAAACACTACAGGTGGGAGGGTGGGGGGCTAATACAAGTGCTTAGCTTAGTGATCGCTGGAACCACTATAAGACCATTACCATTGAACAAGATAATTGCAGCACAGAAATGGGGAGGAAAGCATTCCCTTATACCTGTATTCATTTTCTAGGGCTGCTATAACAATACCACAGATTGGGTGGCTTAAACAACAGACATTTATTGTCTTACAGTTCTGGAGGCTGACATCCAACTCAAGGTATCAGCAGGTTTAGTTTCTTCTGAGGCCTCTCTTTGGCTTATGGATGGCTACCTTCCTCACAGGGCCTTTTTGTGTGTTCATATCTGTGTGTCCAAATTTTCTCTTCTTCTAAAGACACTGGAAAGATTGGATTAAGGCTCACCCAAAAAAGTTAAGGGCTTTGCTTTAACTTAATCACAACTTTAAAGACCTTATATCCTAGGTACTGGGGGTTAGGACTTCAGTATATGGATTTTGGTGGGGGGATATACAACTAAAGCTTTAACATACCCCCTCTTCCCTGTAGGGTTAAATTTGGAAACTGAGTTGCAGGAGACCCCAAGCTTGAAATCCAGGCATGATAGTTCCTTCAATAACTTGAAAATGCTCCATGTTTCTTCAAAATTAAGGACCTCTCTCTTCTACCTGCTTCACTCAACTGCTTTTATTGTTTATCTACTGTTGCTATAAGCATAAACCACCCAGCTTTAAATCCTCTGTGCATTACTACAAAAATAAATTTGCCCATGCTGAATTGTGGAACTGAAGTGTTTCCAAAGGTGAATGTACCAAAGTGGATGGTTGAAACTGCACCTTTTTACATTAACCCATTAATCACCTTCACCTTTAAACAGTCATTCTGCCTTTATTTATGTATTTTTTTTTAAGAGAGAAGAGGGGAACAACATAGACCCAGCACAGTAAATTAAAGTTCATTCAAGCACAGTTGTTGTTGATGAACAACGCAGTTCTGCTTGGTTGAAACAAGACACAAGGGGCTTGTTAAGCCTACTAAGTCACAGGTGAACATTGAGGGTCAGGCAGTCTTAAGAGAAGGTGAAACCTTTCTTATTTAATACTTTGACAAATTAATAATCGAGCCATAGAGTTTCTTACTTTCATTGAAAATGGCGGTCTCTAAGTGTAATCTTTGAAACAAAAAGAGATTAAGTCTTTTTGTGCCTGGCACTTGTGACCTTGGACAAATGGACAAATAGCTTCTGCAGCTAATTAATTCAAGAATTTAATTCAGTGTCTTCTCTGAGCCATGGAAGGAATGATATGGATATTGTTTTACTTTGCCTATTACTGAAAACCTTCAAGATAGAAAAATGCCCATTTTTATTTAATGTGGTGTTGAAAATGGCCTATAAAATCCACTTTTTATATGCAGATTAAATAAGTAATGATATTTTAAAGGACATAGGCAGTTGTATTACAAATAAAAGCCATAAAATTTTTCTCCAATAGAAGCATAATAAAATTATCTAGATTCTACCTTGGAGGAAAATTTAAAAAATAGTTAATCCATTAAAAACAAACAAACAAGACACAAATTTCTTCAAGAGGTTACCATAATGTGCTTTTACTTGGTTAGTTAGATGCCAATACAGTTAGACTGTATTCCTGAGATCCCTTGGATAGCTAATGAATTGCCAATGCTCAGCAGACATCCCCCCGCCTGCCCTCTCCATTAAATATATATGTGTGTGTGTGTGTGTGTGTGTGTGTGTGTATATATATATGTGCGTATATATATATGTGTGTATATATATGTATATATGTGTGTATATATATGTATATATGTGTATATATATGTGTATATATATGTGTGTGTGTGTATATATATATACATATATATAACATATATATGTATATATATAGTGTGTATTGATGCTATGGTCTAAATGTTTGTGTTCCACCAAAATTCATATGTCGAAATCCTAACCCCCAAAGTGATGGTGTTAGGAGATGGGACCTTTGAGATATGATTAGTTCACTGTGGGCACAGTCTTCATGAATATGATTCGTGCCCTTATAGCAGAGACCTCAGAGACCTCCCTCACTTCTCCAGCCATGTGACATCACAATGAATACATGACTATCTATGAACTGGAAAATGGGCCCTCACCAGACATTCAATCCGCCACCACCTTGAACTTGGACTTCCCAGCTTCCAAACTGTAGGAAATAAATTTTTGTTGTTTATAAGCCACTCAGTCTATGGTATCTTGTTATAACCCAAATGGACTAAGACAATTGATAAATATATGTGAATAGATTGCATTCTACTTACATGTTGCCCATCACATATTATGTGACATGTGAAGAAAAAGAGAAGTGGGAAGTGGTATCCCATGCTACGCTCTAACTTGGCCAACAGTGAGACTTGCCACAGTGCTAGGCTCAAGGGACATGCTTGGTGAAATCTTTTGGGTAAGATCATAGTGTAGAGCACTCCAGGGCCTTGACTTTAATGGTCTGTTGTTTTCTTTTTTTGTTTGTTTGTTTTTAATTCTTGTTTTCAATTATAAGCACTACCATTAACTCCATGGGTTTCCCAGGAAGACTGTATCTGAGAGTGGCATTCTAAATACAAATATATCCTTACTGCTAGAAAAAAAAGTCAAAACATATGTCCCCACCCAGATGGGTCAGAAATGTCGCCTTCAGATCTCTTGGACAGCATGCTGTCCTATTGTGACTCTTTTCTGGGGAGCTTCATTGAGAAACTCTTTATTCTATGTCCATCATGTTTAGAGAAGGGGAAATGTGATAACATTAGAGTTTATTATTTTCCCTTATGTAGTGATAGAGACACTGCAATATACAAGATTAAAGTGAGTGACCCAGTATTGTGCGGCAAGATTGAGTCTGTGCTGAGACAAAAACCAAGCTGTTCTCTAAGCTCCGCACTTGATTCACTGAGCCACACTATCTCTGTGATGTTCCCCATAGTGTGTGTGAAGCAAGTGCCAAATGCAGTTTCTCAGTCTGCACGAATGCTCCAATTGGCTGCATCTCTTCCCCTCCTGGCTGCTTTTGGTAGAGGATTGCTGATGGAAATTGTGCTGCTGAGCTTCGCCACATGGCTGTGGCTACATTTCGCCAGTGTTAGCTGGAAGAATTTCCCGGGATTCTAAACTAGAAAGAATTTGCTGAGGGGCCCCTTAGGAGAGGGTCAAGGTTTCCTAAGTGCAGGTGATCACTGTATTATATTAATAGTCGAGATTTTATTTTAACCAGCAGGGCTCCAGCCATTCTTGTGGATCCCTGCAATGTGGTTGAAGTGATGTTAAGTTTTCTCTCACTGCAGTCTGCCTGTCTGCTTCAAACAGATCTGATTCACTTAGGGCCAAGTTTCAGGGTGTTAAAGACAGCTGGGTTGGTGTACATGGCACTGAGAAGCCAAGAGATGCACGTCCTAATCCCATGTTGTCTGGAGAGAGACTGCACCATAATTATATGTCTATACACCTATTTCTGCATGGGACTGTGAAAACCTCATGGATGGGGAGAGTATTTTCTCCCTCTTTTTCCTTAGTGCTAGCATTTTACTAGGCTCATAAATATTATGTTTGATAAATTAGATTATATTGGCTATAATCCTCTACATATCACTTAACCTCTCTGGATCTCAACTTTCATGGTAAAAGTGATACAGATGAACCGCGTTAATCACCACACTTCCAGTGTTATCATCTCATAATTCTACACTTTTGATTCTCTTTGCCTGGAGGAGTTTCTGGTTTTGTTCTTAGCTAATTAAGAGCCAGACCTAGATATTCCTCCCACTTAGTTGTTTTATAAGGAGGAGTGCAAACTCGCTCACCATTGACTTCCTATGTTTATGACACGATTAGTTTGATTTTGGATTATCTATCACAAATGAAGGGAAAGCTGAGTAATTTTTAATGTCACAAAACATATTTATGGGTGAGGTGGGGAGTGTTAATCCAGTTGAGACACCAGTTATATGTTCAGCCAACTGCAAGACCTCTCTGATAGGTAGAAAACATGACAAATTTCATTCCTAGCATTTTGATTTGATTTCTGATTAATTCTCAAAACATCCAAATCATAAAAGTCATTGGTTTATTTTTTAAAATAAATGATCAAATAGCCAAATTTTTATATACAGGTCTTTTTTATTTTTACATAAAACTTTTAATCTAAATAACCCTGGGCACATTATGGGCCCCATTTACCTTCTTTGATTCAGAGACAGAAATGATCACACTTAGAGGCAAAATATTTTCAATTTGGGTCAGTGACCCAAAACTTGGCAATAATCTTTTACTATTCTTCTAGTTCTACACTATTCCAATATGTTATTTCTAATGAATCTGAGAAATATGATGAGATTAAAAGGTCATCCCTCATCACTTTATTCTATACATCTCCAAGTAAGCACCCTTCATTCCAAGACAAAAAACTGTAGCAGAGATTTTGTGTGTGTACAAATGTTACAGCTTTTTCTGTATAGTAGTTGGGAATGGAAAATATTTAAAAAAAAATAGTCACCTGGATCATTCATTCTAGGGAAGACAAATAACTGCATCAGATTATATTTCTGTTGATATTTAAATTTTCATGTGAAGTTTACAGTCTTGGAAATGACTTTCCTACAAAATGTTTTTACCTTTGATCCCAATGGAAGTTAAATCAGAATTTGTCATTCAATATAATTCATTACTTGCCCTTCAATAGTAGCTGAGTAGCTGCTGGTAAATTGAAAAGTTACCTTGATAATAATTTAAAAACTAAAAGAAAGTTATCTATAATGTTGTTCTAGCCTGTGGCAACCATCCACTTTTGATAAATGTTCCATCATTTTACCTTTTGCCCAGACCAGATTTATCTACCTTTCTCTACCACTAGAACAAGAAGGTAAAGCAGAAACAGATGGAACTCAGTACAATGTTCAGACAACAGTCAGATACTAGATTTATCCATGATGTAATTATAAATTAATGAATTGATAGTCAAGGCTCAGAAATAAACCTCTCATTTGGGGAGTAAATGATAATCCAAAATACCATGACACTATCCTCCAGGATCCTACACAAAGCAAAGAAAGGGGACCAAGTAACCTAAATATATTATTGCCTGGAGGGAGTTGCTGATTACCTTCCCTAAACCAGGCCTTCCATCCAGGGACTTTAAGCTGAATCTCTTAACCCAACGATAATGAAGATCACTTGGATTCTCTAATGCCCTGCTTTTTATTTGTGTTTAGGCAATGCTTCACTGACTTAAGCTATTTAAATGTTTAATCTAAAAAGTCATCCTGATAAGAACTCATATAGTCAGGAACCAAATGAACCAGGCCAAAACAAGAGCAACTGTTGAACATGTGCAGATGCCCTGAGCTTTGGAATGAATTAAATAATTTAGCTTCCCAATTATGTTTCACTTATGCTTTTACTACAACTCAACAAATGCTTTCGAACCACTGAACCCAATACATTTTTTGTTGTTTTAGAGTAAATTTTTAAATCTTAAGTTGTAGTTAAAAAATTAAAGTGGGATGGGAGGTGATGGCCCAAGCCTTGCAACAATGCACGTTCATTGCAACCACCGTGACCATGGATAACAGGAGCAGACGAGGGAATGCTGATGTGAGGATTATAACATTCATATAGAAAATTAATTGGGTATTTTGTGGCTTATTTTTCCCATCTTATTGATTAGACCACTGAAACCCAATGATTAAGTGATTTACCTGAATCTAACCATTTCAGATTTTATGAGAGCTTGAAAATGATGCAGAATTTTTTGCCTTCGAATTCCTCGCCCGCCAATTAATGGTAGAGAAAAATAAGAAATCGGTTCTCTAGATTCTCACTTCAATGTTCTTTCTACTACATCATGCCACCCCTTTATTTGGTGTGTAAACATATTAGCAGGTTTGTGATTAAAAGGAGAGGTGAAGGAAAGTCTCACCAATTATTTTGCTCCATCTCTTCCCACTGTTGCTAAGTTAATAATTATTTGCCTGACAGCAAAAGGACATTCCACAGGAAGACTGCTTTTGTGTGCAAAGTTCCTCCATACTCCCTCTTTTCCTTTTTCTGCAACTAGATGTTGTGAAAGGGAGAATCCATGAAGGGACCAAGCAATAGTCAATTTAAATCCAAACCACCACACAAGAACATCAAGCAGAAACACCTTTTAATTGCCTGGACTGGTATTGACTATCAAGTCACTTGTATGACTGCCTTGCTCTGGTTCAAGTTTACTGTGCCTTGAAAAGTCAATCTAAAAGAGAAGAATGAATCTGAGGGAGTAGAGTCCCCTGGGGTCAAGGTGACAAAACTGAGACTGCAGTCACAAACTAAAGGAGAAAAATTTCATTGTCGCCTATAAGTCTTTCTTAACTTTCGAATTACAGATTTGTGTTTCTGTAGCTTGTCATTCAATTCATAGCTTGTCACTTAAGTTGAAGGGTAAAAGTTCTCTCCTTTTACCATGAGACAAATACAATTTTACAGACTTGTTGGCATATGTAAGAATCAAATTGTTCTGGGCTTCCCTTTCTTATCAAAATAAACGTGGTTCCAACTGAAAGCTGAGGTCCTTCTTCCCCAGCCTATTCCTATCATGCCAGCACTTCTAGAATAGCAATTCATCTCAACCGTATGTTCAGGATCATGCACCACTGATGTTCCCCAGTATGGCCAGGGCTTCTGGGGAATGTCATGACCTCAATATATAAGTTTACTTCTATACCCTCGATGCCAACAAGACAGGAGGAAATATGGATAGGTTAACCCCCAAGGACAGCAAGAAGGAGAGTGATAAGGATGGCAGGTAGCAAAAAGCAAAATTTTGGAATTCTGAAAGGTGGATGGATAAATAGTAACTGAATTAATACCCTGGTGGGGAACAAATAACTACAACTCGCTGCTGAACAAGTAAGTGTGGGCTGTAGTACTCCAGGACAACACAAGAATTGAGGCAATGGGTCACTTTGATGGTAGCAGTGCAGAATAAGACAGAAAACAGGTGAAAAGGGCAAAGGGACATTAGACATTAGACCTACAGACTCTCCCTGGTCCCACAGAGCTGAGCAATTGGATATCCTTACTTCAGCAGAAGAGGGAATGCTCTTTCTAGAGAGATTAAATCAGAGAGGAAGATTTGGGGAGTCCAGAAACAGTTGAGAGTGGGGCGAAAAATTGTACTGAAAATAGGGACTAAGTGAAAGGCAGGCAAACTGGTTGGTGAGATCCCACAGCCGTCGCTATCCTCTGGGCTCTTCTCATGCTGGAAAGTAGTCTGTTTCCCTGATGCCTCCACAGGAGATGGGAGAATTCCTCTCTGGAAAACTGGCCCAATAGGTGCTGACCTTTGGGAAGTGCCCAGTAAACAGCTAGAGGGAAACCCAGCCCCACTTGTGCACACAGACTTTTTAGTAGTTTTATTTTTCTTCACTTTCAAATAGATATGGATGTTTAAATATTGCCAAATATTTATAAGATCTTCTAAAATAGAGAAAGTAAAACCAGCAAATAGGAATCCAAGAGAAATGGAGAAGTCTGCTGAAAGCAGAAAACAATCTCAAATAAAACATAACTTTAATATTTTGACAGAGATAAGAAAATATTAAGCAATCATATAGTAAGAACAGGTAGCTATAAAATAAGGGAGAAACTTTCAAATAATAAGAAAAAGTGTTCAGAAATTAAAAATTGGGTTTCCTGATAGAAGGAATAAAAAACACAGTAGAATGATTGGAAGATAACATTGAGGAAATATCTCACAATAGATAAGAAGACAAATATAGAATGTAGGAGAAAAGAAAAATTAGAAGGTCAGTCTAGGACAGTGATTCTCTAAATTTCCTTGCATCAGAATCAGCTGGCGGGCTTGTTAACATTCAGATTGCAAGGCCCCACACCTAGAGTTTCTAATTCAGAAGGTCTAGAATTCAACCTAGGAATATACATTTCTAACAAGTTACCGGATAGATCCGATGCTACTGGTCTGTGAACAGGACTTTGAAAACTACTGTTCTAGGAGATTCAACATGTGCATCACAGCATTTCTTGATAGACAAAACCAGAAAGCAGAGAGGAGGAAATGATAATAGAAACAATCCAATAAGGATATGAATTTCTGGAATGAAAGGACCCAGGTCATCTAGTTCCCAGCACAATAAATGCGAAAAGATTCATCCTAAGGGACATGATGACATTTCAGAACTTTAGGGAAAAATACATCAGGGACACACATGCCAAGGAAGGAAGGGAGGAAGGGAGGGAGGGTGGGAGGGAGGAAGGGAGAAAGGAAGGAAAGGGAGGGAGGGAGGGAGGGAAGGAAGGAAGGAAGGAAAGAAAGGGAGGGAAAGAGAGAGAGAAAGAAAGAAAGAGAAAGAAGCGAAAAGAAGAAAACAAGGGATGGAAGGAAGGAGGGAGGGAGGGAAGTAAGGAGAAAGAAAAGAAAGAAAGAAAATTAACACATTCACATTTGCTGTCTTAGTCCATTTTGGCTGCTATAACAAAATAGCATAAACTGAGTGGCTTACACCAAAATTTGTTTCTAGAGGCTGGGAAGTTCAAGATTAAGGTGCCTGCTTTCTGGTTCATAGACAGCACCTTCTTGTGTCCTCATGTGGTGGAAGTGACAATGCAACTCACTGGGTTTATTTTATAAGAGCACTGGTCCCATTCATGAGGGCTCCACAATGATGACCCAATCGCTCCCTAAACACCCTGGGGACTAGGATTTCAAAATATGAATGTTAGGGGAAAACAAACATTCAGACCATACCATTCCCATACAAAAAATAAAAGAATCAGAGTAGACTCACACTTCTTAATAGCAACACTGATAAAACAAAGACAGTTAAAGAATGTATTTCATGTCTTAGGAGAAACAATTTTCAAAGTTAGAATTCTGTGTGCAGCCAAGTTTCAAACAAATGTAAGGTCTTTTTCCCAACATTAAGTTTTCAATAATTTTGCATCCTAAGTAACGTTTCTCAGGAAGCCACTTAAGAATGAGCTTCTATTAAAATGGGAAAGAACCAATAAAGAGGAAGACTCAGAACCCAAGAAAAGCAGATCCTCTTCAGGAAAGAGGCAAAGGGAAGTTCTCAGGTGGTGCTAGAAGGGATGCTTCCAGATGACAGCTGAGTGGCAGTTTGCTGAGTTTCGAGTGGACTAGTAGTGGCTCCAGGAGGAGTGTTGTACTGCTAAGTGGACCTAGATGTGTTCACCTTCACTGGGCAAAAGGTTGTAGTTCTGTAGGGACAGTTGGGGTAATAATTATTGATAAATAATTAGGCACATAAAAATATTCACCCTAGCTAAAACAAAAATTTTTATAAGAAAGGATATGTCATCCTTCTATGCTGTGACTCTACAATGCAGAAAACTCATAGTAATGAATATATATTATATATAAATGCTACATCTATATTGACAGAAAGTAAAAGAAGAAGTATGTTTTGAATAGAGACAGAAAACTACATTCTCGCTTTCCATAGTAGAAAGTCATTTAACAATGTTAAAGTGGAAACATCACAAAATAAGAACACTATTTAGAAATAAGAGAAGAATTGATATGAGTTGAGAGTGGTCACTCCTAAAAGCAATAATTTTATCTAAGTAGAGCTGTGTCAGGAGATACTTGCTTTATCATTATGGACTGGAGACAGAAAACTACATTCTCACTTTCCATAGTAGAAAGTCATTTAACAATGTTAAAGTGGAAACATCACAAAATAAGAACATTATTTAGAAATAAGAGAAGAATTCATATGAGTTGAGAGTGGTCACTTCTAAAAGCAATAATTTTATCTAAGTAGAGCTGTGTCAGCAGATAGTTGCTTTATCATTATGGCCTGGAGGTTTAATTTGACATTTACTATGGACATGTAATACTTTGCTGCTAACAAAACTTCTTAAAGAAAAGAAAGAGAACTTAATCTTAGGCATGAACAAATCAGAGAAAACTGAATTATTTTGAGAGGAAGGAATGGGTGGAAGATAAATCTGGATTCCTTCCAGAGGTGTTGTGGGCCTGAGAAGATTAAGTTTAGGGAGCTAGTCCAGATAGCTGTACCTATGTTCCCTCATCTAAGGAAGGAAACTTTTGCTACATTTTTTTAAAACTCAAGCAAATCTGGGAAACGGCATATTTTAAATTATGTCCAGAAATGCTCCATAAATCAGTTCAGTGGCCCCAAATATCTTTTTTCTTTTCTTTTTCTTTTTCTTTTTTTTTTTTTTTTGAGACCGAGGCTCTGTCACCCAGGCTAGAGTGCAGTGGCGCGATCTCGGCTCACTGCAAACTCCGCCTCCTGGGTTCACGCCATTCTCCTGCCTCAGCCTCCCGAGTAGCTGGGACTACAGGCGCCCGCCACCATGCCCGGCTGATTTTTTGTATTTTTTAGTAGAGACGGGGTTTCACCGTGTTAGCCAGGATGGTCTCGATCTCCTGACCTCGTGATCCGCCCGCCTCGGCCTCCCAAAGTGCTGGGATTACAGGTGTGAGCCACCGCGCCCGGCCCAGTGGCCCCAAAAATCTTAATGCAAAAATCCTACTGATACCATCTTCCTGTTATATGATGCGGCCATTAATTTAATTGAACCAAGGTCATGAAATGAGTCTATGCAGATGCAGCCCCCATTTGGGTGCTGTATAAATGCCCTCCCTCCAACACTGAATGCAGGACAGCCTCTCAGATGCTGCCCTCTGCAATCTCCTCACCAAATTTCTGATTCAAACAAGCAAGGCAGGTCAATAGACAGTTTTATTGGCCCTTTTGGGACATGACTGCAGAATATTAGAACTTCTCTTTATAGGTCCCTTGGTAATTGACTGTGTTTACAAAATTATGAGAAAAGCCATCTAGTAGTTAGACCTTCTTATCCCTTTTCCAATTTTCAGTAGGCTGAAGGTGAAGCCAGGACATTGAGTTTGATGTGTGGTTTTGGCATGGCAGGATCTCTTGTTTCTAACACAATCAAAGAGCTGAGGGCTGATGGGTTAGAATATTTGGGTTTGCTCCACCATTAATTTACTCTAACAGGGACACTTCTGGGTATGACTTGCTACTATAGGAAGAGCTGTGCTATGCTTTGGAAATGCTATTTGTTGATGAAACACTAATTGTAAAATAGTTACCTCGGAGAACTCAAATGTAATTACATTAAGTTTAATTACATATCATTAATTATATAAAATATTTAAATTGTTATGTTGAATTGTGCTGCACTAGTTGCCTTACATTTTGCTGGTGTGTGGAGCAGATGTGCTTGAAGAGTTTGGATGTCATCCAGAAGTTAGTGAATTGTAACTGTTTAGATAATCGGAGCCTGATTTATACCATCTATTGAAAAACAATAGCTACATATTTTCAGTGATGCGACATTATTGAGTATAGGGAGGAAGTAGCTTATGCCTACCTGATGTTTTGGTAATTATAGTTTACTACCGACTTTAAGTTTAATCAACCACATATAAGGAAGTCAATGCCTAATTTCTCATGTGCATCAATAGCTGTGAACAGTAATTTTTATTTATATTGGGGAGAACAATTTTTTTCTCTGCCTATGAAACTGACAATTTTTTTAGGATGCCTGAATTATCAAAGGAATCTAGAGTTCAATCATTTGCCTTGTTTCTCAGAGGTTCACTTGCTCAAATTAATTCACCATCAATTTTAAAATGTCTCTAGACTTCACTTATATCAAATTCTCTAATATGATTGAAAGCATGGTGAAGTATCCATATAAGGAAAGTAAGAAATTCGGCCGGGTGCCGTGACTCATGCCTGTACTTTGAGAGACCTAGGCAGGCAGATCACCAGGTCAGGAGTTCAAGACCAGCCTGGCCAACACGGTGAAACCCTGTCTCTAATAAAAGAAAAAAATACAAAATTAGCCGGGTGTGGTGGTGTGCACCTGTAATCGCAGCTACTCGGTGGAGCTGAGACAGGCGAGTTGCTTGAACCCAGGAGGCGGAGGTTGCGGTGAGCCAAGATGTTGCCACTACACTCCAGCTTGGGCGACAGAGTGAGACTCCGTTACAAAAAAAGAAAAAAAAGAAAGTAAGAAATTCATACAGACTAACAATAGATTTTTCTTTTCCAATATGTGAATATAAAACCTACTATGTACTTAAGGGATCTGACACTAGAAAATGTAATGATTGATCTTAAGTTTTGGTAAACAAATAGCAGTACTAGAATTTCCTCTCTTAAATAATTTGCTTTCATATTTATATCCATTTGGAGTGGAGCAAAGCAGAGAAACAGTCATTTAAATATAAATGCTACAGAGAGAAAAATATTTATGATTCGTGTTTCTGCCAATCAAATAAATGGTACCATTTAAAATTTTAGTTTATTTTTGTCTGTGCAGATATTATCTACTATTAACAGTACTTTGGCTCAATTCAGATTATTGTGACTAAATTTCTCAAAAATTGGAAAGCACAGAATCAATTTGTCTAAAGAAAATAACTTGTTAGTATGTCACCAGCCATAAATCATGACATGTCACTTCTACTACCTTTGAAGAGGATCTATTCTACAGAAGTTCATTTTTAGAATTACCTCTGCTTATAATTTGAAGAAAATACTTTTTTCCCCAGAAAATACTTTTTTTTCCTCAGAAATACTCCCAGGTATTTTGATGAAAAATAATTAAAATTATCTCATATAATTGTATATACATCTGTATATGTGTTTGTTGGTATCAGGGATCATCTAATAAGAACGAAATTGAATTCTGTAAAAGTTATGTTGACTATGCCAGAAGGTACAATCTGTGAGTCAAAATTTGAGGGGCAAAGGGAGGGATTACAGTTACAAGGGAGGATATGGAATAGAGCCAGTATCTGTTGAGACTGAAGATAGGCCCAAATGAGGAGAGGGACTTTGAGCAGGCTTGTGTGCAGGAAGATTTGAGAAAGCTCAGTTTGTCGCTTCAGCCTAGCAGCCTTCCCAGGGCTGAAGGTAACTTTGGTGGAATTAGGAGTTGGTTTGCCCCAACCCCCAAATGGTAGTAGATGATATATGCCAGTGACAATGTCATCCAAGCATCCTAAGCATAAATACTGCAGGTGATTCATGAAACAAGTATTATTATTGATATATGTCTTATCTATTTTGATTTGAAACTTGCCTTCCAACCATGACACGAGTTCTATTTTATTTCCTAAATCTTCATTTTGACTTTGGCCTGTTGTAAGCCTGTTCCAGGCTCAGACCTTGCAGGAGACATTAGGGCTTCTTTGTCTTCAAGGAGCAACAGGGGTGTCAAAGCTATCTTAGAATCCCACTCCTTTCCTATGACAGTTTCAGGAAATAAGAACAATTTATCCATGACAGCTTTAGAAACACGATCTACTAATTTATGCACTGCTTCTTCTTGAATAATTGGGATCCAGTCACGCTCTGCATAACAGCCCCTGGCTTTGGGAGGGTCCAGGCTTACCAACTGCTTCCCCTGGAGGGGGAAGAGCTGGAGGGTGAGCAGATTGTGCCTTCCCTAAGCAAAGAAAGAAAGAAAGAAAGTAAAAGAAATTAGGGGTGGTAAGGAGGTTAGAAGACAAAGGAGGAAGCATTTGATAGGTCATCTGTCAGTAGGCCTTGATAAAGGCTGGTAAGAGAACAATGGAAAACCACTTCAAAGTGAACAATGCCACACTGAGTATGTGCCAGTTTAAACAAAAAAGAAAGAAGACATGTCAGCTATTAAACACATTCATTGAGGGGCGTCTTTTTAACCCCTTACTTTTCCCACTATTTTTCTTTCCTTAACGAGTAGAGAAGGAAAAAAAAACAACAACAAAAAAAAACAGTGAGTCTGTCAAAGCAGGAGGGAAGCATGAGGTTGCCAGCTTTCCGGAAAGTCAGGCAGAGATATTTGCATTAATTGAATATTAATTTCAGGATGGAGGTTGTGTAGACAATGGAAAAGAGGTGACTTTTTGATGGTTTCAGGTAATCTCATGTGTTTGAGAATTTCAGAGAGTGGGGCTCCCCGACTTGTTTTTTATTTTCAATATATTCAAAATAAAGCAGGATTAAAAACTTAATTTGAAGTTTGGGAGAATAAGCTAATAAGATTTTAGATTTTAAAGCTCTAATTCATGGACAGGAGGTACAGAACAAAAAGGGCATTTTCACATCTACTCAGACTACATTTTTGTGATAACCAGAAAAGAGAAAAATCGGCAAAAGAAAAATTTAATTAAGTGCTGTTAGTTCACAAGATGATCTCTCATCTTGAAAGTGTCTGATGTGCTAGTCTATGCTATGAATTTAGAGATGAAAGAATAAATATCAAAATGTAATAAGAACATAATACTCTGGGAAATTCTATGTGGGTTTAGAACAGTGTGCTACCCAGCCCCCAAAGCCATCTTTGATGGAAGAGCAGAGTAATGGCTTTTTCTTTGTGAACTTCTCAAATAATGGAAGCCTTGGTTAAAACAAATATTTCCAATATCTGATCAATTTGACAGAGGTTCCTACTGAAAGTTGATGTTTCTGTAAGTGAAGAACAGTTCATCTTTCTACCATGGTTGGTTGGCTTGGTTCAAATGAAATATAGAGCTTCAACAAATTATTTTGGTGCTCAACTCTTGTCTCTTCAGTTAGACATGCATGCCTTGTGGTCATGGTGTAACCACCCAGTGGGTTCACCCTGTCCGCTGCCTAGCAGAGCTGATTTATCAAGACAGGGGAATTGTAATAGAGAAAGAGTAATTCACGCAGAGCTGGCCGCACTGGAGACCTGGAGTTTTGTTATTACTCAAATCAGTCTCCCGGAGAATTTGGAGGATCAGAGTTTTTAAGGATGACTTGGTGGGCAGGGGAAAACCAGTGAGCCAGGAGTGTTGATTGGTTAGGTAGGAAATGAAATCATGAGAAGTTGAAGCTGTCCTCTTGTGCTGAGTCTGTTCCTGGGTGGGGGCCGCAAGATTAGATGAGCCAGTTTATCCATCTTAGTGGTGCCAGCAGATCCATCAAGTGCAGAGTCTGCAAAATATCTCAAGCACTGATTTTGGGAGCAGTTTAGGGAGGGTCAGAATCTTGTAGCCTCCAGCTGCAGGACTCCTAAACCATAATTTCTAATCTTGTGGCTAATTTGTTATTCCTACAAAGGCAGTCTAGTCCTCAGGCAAGAAGGAGATTTGTTTTGGGAAAGGACTGTTATCATCTTTGTTTTAAACTATAAGTTCCTTGCAAAGTTAGTTCAGCCTATGCCCAAGAAGGAACAAGGACAGCTTAAAGGTTAGAACCAAGATGGAATTGGTTAGATTAGATCTCTTTCACTGTATAAGTCATAATTTTGCAAAGGCGGTTTCAATGGTCCATGTCTCATCTGTCTTTTGCTGCCCTCCACATTGGCAAATACACGGTGCATATATTGGTTTGTTTATTCATTTATTCAAAGTATCTAGAAATAGTTATTGAGTTCCTACTGTATCAGGCATGCTTCTTGATGCTGTACATTCAGCAGAAAACATCATAAAACCCCACCTCCATGGGGGTTACTGTTCTAGTCCAGGACAACAGATAAGAAATAGCAATGACATTCAGATATTGTAGGTAAGGAGAAGCGTTTGAAAAAACAAAACAAAACAAAACAAAACAAAAAACACAAAGTGTGGTAGGGAAAGAGAAAGTAACAAGTGTGTTTTTTAGGTCTGGTGGTCACAGACTGTCTCTGTGAGGAAATAACAATTAGAGAGGCAACTAAATGAGATGTAGGACTGCCTACCCAAATGCCTATGGGAAGAGGGTTTCCTCAGAGGAAAGAGCCAACACTAAGGCTCTGAGGGAATTGCACTTGATGTGTTCTTCAAACATCAAAGAGTCAGCATTCTTGGACAAAATGACCAAGATGACGCAACCTCTGTTACCCACTGTTGTCTTTTAAATTTTAGAAACTTGTTCGGGGCTGACTTTCAGTAAGGTGTATTTTCATATAAAAGATTGCACTCAGCCTTTCATTCTTACTTTCTAGTATCAATTTTACCTCTTCAAAGTCAAACTATTCCAGAGCTAGAGAATACAGGAAGGATGTGGATGGAAGACCAGGATGTGACCAGTGTTACCCCTGGAAATGAAGATGGACTTAAGTGACTCAGTCCTAAATGAAATCAGGATATGTCTAAGTAAAATGCTATCACTTCTATTGTGTTCAAATTCTTTAACTATAAAGTTTGGGTGAAATCATGGTTGAGAAAATTATTAAATGTCCATTGTTAGGTCTCTTTCCTATATAGATTCATAATATGCAAATAGGACAAGTTTATCTGTACATAATTCTGAAAGCTGGCCAGGCGTGGTGGCTCACGCCTGTAATCCCAGCACTTTGGGAGGCCAAGGCAGGTGGATCACCTGAGGTCAGGAGTTCAAGACCAGCCTAGCCAACATGGCGAAACCCCATCTCTACTAAAAATATAAAAATTAGCCAGGCATGGTGAAGGGTGCCTGTAATTCCATCTATTTGGGAGACTGAGGCAGGAGAATCATTTGAACCCTGGAAGCGGAGGTTGCAGTGAGCCGAGATTGCGCCACTGCACTCCAGCCTGGGCAAAAGGAGCAAAACTCCATCTCAAAAAGAAAAAAAAAAATCCTAAAAGCTAACAGGCTGTAGACTATTTTTCTCTCTGTAAACATTATGCTAAAGGGCAACTATTCTATTTTGACTCTCTATGTAAAATACTGTCCTTATCATTGAGAAATAATTTTGTGTTTTCTTCCAAAGCTTCCCCAGCAGGGTCTTTGACATCGGAGTTTTTTCCCCTCATGTTGTCATTGGAAGCAGCTGTTACAAGTCATAACCGAGCTTATATTTATCATTAACTTAGTGACCCCTGCTGGGGAGGCTTAACATAATCATCCTTAAATTCAAAGTTGGGGTTTCAACAAAATAGGTGCTTGGACCTCAAACATGAGTTCTTCATAATCCAAGACAATGGATTTTGCAAGTTACTCAACCAGTCCCACCACTGGAGGCTTCAAGGAACTCACGGTCACCAATTGAGAGAGAATAACCCTTGTCACATGACTGAGTGTGTGACTGATTCTAAAAGTGACACATTTGGCATTAGCACACTTCTCCTGGTTGTCTGCCTCTGCTCCCTCACCTTGCTGGCTCTTTTTAATGTTATCTGCCAAGTGACACTTTTTGATCTCTTTCCAATATGCCTTTAAAAAAATCAAAAGGCTCAGATGATGTAGTTTTCTATCAGAATCTTTTCTTTTTTCCCCGTCACAATAGCATTGCTCAGTATCATATGCCAACCTTTTTTTTTTTTTTTTTTTTTGAGATACAGTCTCATTCTGTCACCCACCCCGGCTGGAGCACAGTGGTGTGATCTTGGCTGACTGCAGCCTCCGCCTCCCAGGTTCAAACCATTCTCGTGCCTCAGCCTCCCGAGTAGCTGGGAACACAGGTGTGTGTCACTACGCCTGGCTAATTTTTGTATTTTTAGTAGAGAGAGGGTCTCTGTTGGCCAGGCTGGTCTCGAACTCCTGACCTCAAGTGATCTGCCTATCTCAGTCACCCAAATTTCCAGGATTACAGGCATGAGTCACCACACCCGGCCTCATATGCTGAACTTTTTCCCATCACATTTGCAGAACGAAACTCTTGAAAAGGAAGTAAATACCCCATAAAGCAGAGGACTTATATTTTTATTTTCATGAATAATTAAAAAGCCAGATACACTTCTGTTGAAGTGTAAGCTTTTATCGTGTCGACCCTTGCAAATTGTTAGATTCTCCCTATCTCCATCCCAGACCACTTTGGCATAACCAATCAGTTTAGGTAAACCAATATTAGTGTCCACCGCCTAATATTAACCTCTATGTACAAAAACAAAAAACAAAAACAAAACAACAATACTTCAGTTTTGTTTATGCCTCAGAATAACAAATGTTAGTATACAACGTGGGTATTAAAAGGTCTGTGATTTGTTAGAATTGACCTAAGCATATTTAACAATAAAATTTTTAAACGAATATTTGTTTTAAATAGTTCTATTAAAAGCAATATGTGTGTATACGCTTCATAATTAGTTTACAAGCTATTCACTATAAGATGTCAATAGATAAACCTAAATTACCTAAAATCCAACTATCTGAATCTTTCCACTAGTTCTACAGTAAGAGATTTTCTAAGTGTATCCAATTTTTATGGAAATGGGTAGAGAGAGAGAGAGAGAGATTGAACAAGATGATATAAGCACAAAACAGTTCATTTTCTCCCGTTTCTTTCCTTACTTCCTCATTCCTTCTCCCTTCCTTTCTTTCTTCCTTCTAACCCTCTCTTCCTTCCAAATATCCCTCCCTCCCTTTCTTCTTCCTAATTCGTCCTCCCTTCCTCCCTTCCTTCCCTCCTTCCCTCTTTCCTCTTTTTCCCCTTCCCCCTTGCCCCCTTCCCCCCTTCCCTCCTTCCTTCTTCCCTTGCAAAGAAAGGAGCTTCCTTCTTTCCTTTCCCTCTTTACCTTTTTTGTCCACCTTTGATGAAGACCTCACATTGAATAGAATTCTACTTGGCTGGGTACCAAGGCTTGTGCCTATAATCCCAACACTTTGGGAGGCAAAGGCAAGAGGATCACTTTGGCAAAGAGTTTAAGACCAGCCTGGGCAACATAGCAAGATCCCATCTCTAAAAAAAATTAAATTAGCTGAATATGGTGATGGTCACCTTAGTCCCAGCTACTTGGGAGGTTAAAGTGGGAAGATTGCTTGAGCCCAGGAGTTTGAGGCTGCAGTGAGCCATGATTGCTCCACTGCACTCTAGCCTGGGCTACAGAGCGAGACCCTGTCTCTTAAAAAATATAATAATAATTTGACTTAATTTAGTGTATTTTGTATCTAGAGACATAATAAACTCTTGCTGTTTAGGAAAGAAATTCAGTGGGTTAGAAGAAGGTAGAGACACTCGTTATATGATAAAAGTCCCTCCCATTTTTAAATTAAACTCCAGACTTTATATTTAGATTTCACCAGTCTTTTCATTTATGTCCACTTTCTGCTTCAAATTGAATCTAGAATGTCACATTTCATTTAGTTGTCATGTTTCCTTAGTCTCATTTGGTTAGTAATACTTTCTCCCTCTTTTCTTGTTTTCCTGACCTTTTGAGGAATACTGGTCAGGGACTTTGGAGAATGTCCCATAATTTAAGATTGTCTGATGTTTGTCTCATGTTTAGACTGAGGTTGTGTTTTTTGAGAAAGAATACCATAGAAAAGTGTCTTTCTTGTAACCTCATAACAGGAAATACATGATAGTCGCATGGTTTGTCACTAGTTTACTCGGATAAGACAGTGTTTGCCAAGTTTCTTCACTATAAATTTTTTCCCTCCTTTTTTCTTGGAAATGAGCCACTAGGTATAGCTCACCCTCAAAGAGGGGAGTAAATAAGGCCTTTTTTGAAACATGGACCTTGATGGTGTAAAGAAGAAAGGATAGATAAAAGCCATTGCCAGGTTTAGATCACATCGCTAATGTTCTTTCACTGAAGACTCAAGTCACAGAAGAGAGAATATTGTCCTCTTGAAAGTAAATAGACCATGATGGGGTAAACTCTTCTACCTTAGGGTTACTCATTTTTAATATTCATAGTTGGTAGTGCCTCCACTAGGTGCTTAGAAGTAGTGGGTTCTGGACTACATGGCTAAGGACTGAGCTTGGCTACAATAGCAATGGGTAGGCCAGCTGAGCATATCTCACCTATGGTCTTTTATACTCAAAGAGGCTAGACTGGGCTTTTTCACATGGCTACCCCAGCTGTCCCCAGTGTGCAAGCCTTGCTTGTTTCACACTTGGTGATATATTATACCATTGACCAAAGGAAGTCATGAATAAGTCCAGATTCAATGCAGGAGACATTGTGTTAATCAGGTTCTCCAAGGAAAGAGAAACTTATAGTGAAGATATTTATTATAAGGTTATTGGCTTGCACAATTGGCTTGAGAAGTTCCACAATTTTCCATTTGCAAGCTGGAGACCAAGCTTGCAAATCTTGGTATAGCTGATGGTATAGATTGCAGTCCAGGTCTGAAGGTCTGAGAACCAGGAATACTAAGGGCAGGAGAACAATGATGTTCCAGCTCAAGCAGGCAGGCAGAAAGAAAATTGAACCTTCTCCTTCCATTTGCTTCTGTTGAAGCCCACAACAGATTGGATGGTGTCTACCCATTTTTGGGAGGGCCATCTGATTTACTTAGTCCACCAATTCCAATGTTAATCTCTTCCAGAAACACCTTCACAGACACACACAGAAATAATGCTCAACTAGATATCTGAAAATCCCATGGCCCAGGCAAGTTGACACATAAAATTTCCCATCACAAGCACAACATATGGAGTGAATACCAAAAAATGTGATTCTCTAAGAAGCCTTCATGTAACAATCTATACATTGGCACAGCGAATAACTAGTTAAGTTGGGAGTAGAACCCAAATAAATCCTACTTTAGTACCATCTCCACTGTAGCATGTTGAAGCAAAGTGTAAACCAAAAATAAAATTCTAAGGCTCCCCCGCCATCTGAACGGACTTTCTCCTCAGCCAGGGCTGTTTTAAAATTTAACCTGAAAGACTGGTTCAGGCCAGGAAAGTGGAAGTCAGACATGCCTCATTTTACCTCTCTGGCATTAACATCAACACAGACTTTTAAGTCTGATAAGAAACATTTTACAGCCTATTCTCTACGAAGCCTACTACCTGGAGGCTGCTTCTGCATGATAAAACTTTGGTCTCCACAAGCTCTTATCACAACCCAGACATTCCTTTCTGTTGATCCCAGATCTTTGTTTGTTTGTCTGTCTGTTTGTTTTGAGATGGAGTCTCCCTGTGTCTCCCAGGCTGGAGTGCAGTGGTGCAATCTCTGCTCACTGCAACTTCCACCTCCCAGGTTCAAGCGATTCTCCTGCCTCAGCCTCCCTAGTAGCTGGGATTACAGGTGAGTGCCACCACACCTGGCTAATTTTTGTATTTTTAGTAGAGACTAAAATTTCACCATGTTGGCCAGGCTTGAACTCCTGACCTCAAGTGATCCAACTGCCTCGGCCTCCCAAAATGCTGGGATTATAAATGTGAGCCACCATGCCCGGCCTAATCCCAGGTCTTTGGATAAACTCAACCAATTGTCAACTAGAAAATTTTAAAATCTGCTCTTTAAGCTGGAAGCCCCCCACACCAACTTCAAGTTGTTCCACCTTCCTGGACCAAATCAACGTATTTCCTAAATATATTTAATTGAAGTCTCATGCCTCCCTAAAATGTGTATAACCAAGCTGCACCCTGACCACCTTGGGTACATAATCTCAGGACCTTCTGAGGACCGTGTCATGGTCCATGGTCCCTCATATTTGGCTCAGGATAAATCTCTTCAAATATTTGACAGAGTTTGACTCTTCATAAACAAAAGAAAGATTGTTTTTGTACTGTGTTTACTAAAGCAGGAGATCCTACTTTTGGATTATATACTCACAACTTGCATATTTTAGGAAGATTTTCGGCAACAAGCGTTGACATAGAAAAAGATTTCTGTTTAGACTTTTACACAATTAGCAAATTCTGTGAACCATATTCTTTCTTGAGCATTTTACTTTTTAACATATTGAATAAGTAAAAGAGGACTAGAATAGGATTCATTGGCCTGCCTCCCATTTCCAGCTCTTTGACTATGTGGGTAGATAACCTTCAGCAAATGATTGATCTTTTCTTGGTGTTAGTTTAATTATCTGTAAAATGAGAATAGTCAATAGTTTTTTGTGATTATTCAACTCTAGAAAGTCCTGTGATATATTCTATTCTTCACATCTTCTCCTTCATCAACTCTTGCTGTTTAGCAAAACAAGCTAGATGTTTAAGTCTAGCTAGATTCAACAATGGAACAGGAAACAGGAAGACTCCACAGAGGCGGAAATGGATTCAAATCCCAGTTCTCTCAGCTAAGAACTTTGGAGTCTCAGGTTTAACCATTCTGAGTATATTTATTTGTTTGTAAGTGGAAATAGTGGTAGTACCTCATAGGGTTTTGAGAGAATTAACTTGAATTGAATGAAGTACTCGGGAAGGCATGCATCATTATAGTAAGTTCCTAATAATGGTGTCTACCACTATTTTTAGGATAAGTACTATTGACAGTAATAGCAAATCAGACAGATTAATTATTTATATCATAATCTGTTAAATTGTATCCTCACATGTAAATGATGTAAATGACTTGTACCCAAAATATCTGACTTATATCTCAGAAATTTTTACAAACAAGTCCTAGCTCCTAAGATATGAGGTTATTTTACTTTTCAAGTGATTAAATTGAGGCCACGACTTGGGAAACATGATATATAATTATTTCCTTAACTTAGAAATCAGTCTTCCTATGAGAGGTCATAGTTCCCAGTGGGTGCACAAGAAAAGGGTCAAGTTGGAACCAGACATCACCCTGTCCCAAGTGCAACGTGAGATCAGCAGGAGCTTGATTATTGATTTTTGTTTCCTTCTTCTCTTGGGTTTGCTTTCTTTTAGGAGCCAGTGGACCTTAATTCACACAGCTTAGGAGGTAAAGCCAGCTCTGCTTTACTTACCCAATGATCTTTTCCTGGAGATCATGTTCCTTTTGTCCTTTTGTCTTGAATTGAAATCACTTGGGGGTTATAAATTTTATCT
This sequence comes from Homo sapiens, assembly GCF_000001405.40. Taxonomy (NCBI): domain Eukaryota; kingdom Metazoa; phylum Chordata; class Mammalia; order Primates; family Hominidae; genus Homo; species Homo sapiens. The sequence goes on from NC_000018.10 coordinate 52,676,917, forward strand.
TTTTAACCAGATAGCAAATGCCTTAAGGATAGAGCAGCATTTTTGATATCTTTGTTTTTTTTCCCCCAAACTACTTCCTGTAGAAACTTGAACATAATAAATCCTCTAATAGTTTTTTAATGTAGCTCAAAGAGCTCTGAGAAATAGTGAAATTCAACAGCAAATACATTCAGCCAACATTTTGTAATAGATGTGGCATAATGCATTTAAATTATGAAACGGGCCTTAATTCTTGTCTCTTAATGCCAAGGTTTTAAATTTCTATCTTTGAATGAATTCTTTAATCATAAATATTGTCCATTCTTTCATCCAGGTGGTATCATCAGAGCTAATACAGAGTGAATTCATTAATGTTAAAACTAACTTTACTCCCTAATTATGAGAAAGTAAGTGTGCATACATTACAAAAAAAGAGAAGTGGTTAAATATTAAAATGCTTGTTCTTGAGGCTGTTGTGAGGCTTAAAAAACTTGAAAAAATTTTCAGGGATCACACAGTAGTAAAAATTACTATAGCAGATTCTATGTTTCATTGTTCTGCCATCCCTGGTTCTGTGATGCTTCTTTTTTTATATATATTTTTTATTATTATTGTTTCTATTGTTATTATTTTGGTTCAACCCATAAATACATTCATCCTGCTCAGTTTTCACAAACTGAACTCATCTCTTACTGGTAAAGAAGGAAGAAATGCCTTTCTTTGGGGAAGAAACTACTGGCAACTTCTCCTAAGACTTGAGGGCAGAATGAGATATCTATGACAGATTTTCCTTTTTTTCCTGTTTCTTGCATTTGCTTTCTGACAAAATAGAGAAGAAAAAAAATTTCTTTCTGAAGAAACTGCCACACTCTGTTGTTTTTGATTTTCCACATGAACGCATTCCATTTAAGCACAGGAGTGTCTCAAAAGGCTGGCTTCTCGTTGAGCAAGTATATTAATACTTTTTCTTCTACAACTTGTAGCCTGATCAACAGCAATTATTTCAGTAGCCATAATACGCCACCATTCTGAAAACAAATAAATCAAATGCTTTTTAAAGTCAAGGGTAAGGCTAAATACAGAACAAACAAAAGGAAGTACTTATTGCGTGTATTACCTTCCAGTGGAAGTGGGTATAAACTACAAAGATGGGCATAAAAGGGTAACAATAATGGAGACACCATGTCAAGCCTTGAATGGACTGTATTCTTGACTATACTGATCAGCCTTTGCCCTTTAGACTGACATCAAAAACTCTGCCCTCCCTCTCAGAGCCCTCAAACTGCCCCAGGCTGCTGGAATCTGTGTGACAGCCTGGCAAGGTTAACGTTAAGAAACACACAAAAGGCAGAAAACAAATAGTGCTGCTGCCGTCTTATTGGTTGGCATACTCCTGGGATGATCTATAATCATTTCTTCAGCTTAGAAATCAGCCTCATGGTCTTTGGGGTAGTATTAAAGCTCCTGAGCCCTGTGGGTTTTGTCCCTTCTATTGTTTATATGCGTTCATTCATTTTGCCATTAATCTTAATAAGGATATAAGATTTACTTTCTTTGTTGTTGCCTTTAAATTTTGAAGAAAATAAAGCAGAACAATGAAAAGAGAACTCTAGCTCGTAAGATTTATTTGCAGGTCAGCTGTGTTAAAATTCTTTCCGCTCGACATGTAAGAAGCTTAAAAAAGTAAATTACTGTCCTTTTTAAAAAATGCTCTAAAGCATTAGTGTAAAAAGGACGTTAGGAGAGAATCATTATCATCTCTGTGTGTTTACAAAGAACACACATGAATATATGCACACACAGTCAGAAAAGTAGTTCTTTAAGAATTCCATGCCACGAAAGATTTAATTAACCTTTTCACTAGGAAACCGGTTCTGGGCACTGCCTTCATTATCCCCTTTCTGTTTCCACCCTAAGAATCTCACACTCTGTTCCTTTCCTCTGTTTTTCTCGCCCCATCCTTTTTGCCCATTCTTTCATCGGTGACTCTATTGTTAAATTTACCAGCTGGTGATAGATTCACATACTCCTCTTCATTTCCGATAGTAACCTCCTCACTTCCACACTTCAACTTTTGCTGTTACCTGCTTGATTGCATTCTCTTTACCTTCAAAAATTTTAATTGAAAAAAGCTATATTGACCTAGGAGTGTAAGTAAAGTCAGTTGAAATGGTTGGTAGTCTACGAGCTTTGAAATATTATTTTTCCACAGGGTATAACAATTTCTCTTATATAAATGTTATTTATGGTAATAGAAGCAAAGGAACTTCACTATAAATAATAACATTTAGTAAGTGGTGATATGAAGGAATGCATTATTATAATTACCATCATAATTTTCCTGTTATTATTTTTAAAATTTTAGATATTAAAAAAGACTTAGGAACACAGGAAGTATGCTCCCCACCAAGCACTAGGAGGCCATTGAAATCACATACAGATCAGCTTTACATTTTTTGATAGTGTGTTCATTCTAAAGCTAACTTTTAGAAATTATTTTGTTGTTGATGATGATGATTTATAGCTGTTTTCCCCGTTTCATTTTATCCTATCTATTGTTAACAGAAAATAAGGGTGTATATTCATATAGCCCCCATCTTTGTAATGCCTGGACATGTTGGTTGCTAGGTAACAGGACACTATGAGGTAAGCAGGCCCATACTGTTTATCTCTGATTGAGCAGAAATGCAGAACCCTCCGCAGGAGAAAAGTCCTCTGAATTTCCTTGCATTTTTGCTGAACCAAACAGAATTATTATTGCATGACAAAGTACCACTTAGCCTTATGAAACTTCCTGGCAGTTTCAGTTTAATCATTGCTGTAAAGAATCTATAAGTCTTTCTTGGTTATTACCACAAAATTGTGTAGCAGGTTTACTTCCCTAAATCAAAACTTTGTTGTCCAGGATTCTGTTCCCTTTTAATCTTTCTAGGTTATTAAAATTTATCACAGCAGTTACCTAAACAGAGGTGTTAGTGTCTGATGTCCTGTATTCTAATAGACTTTTTAAAAAATCATATATTTTGTATAAACAATGCTGTAACTAGAATAAAAGGTCAAATAATCAGATAAAATTGTACGGAATTCCACCACTGGAAAGAAAAAAAACTACTCTTCAAATTTCTTGACTTTTAATTAAAATACATGTATTATGTGGAAGTATTAGGCATCACATCAGGCTTAGAGAGGCGTAGATTCATTCATAAAACATTTTCTGGGTGCCCATTGGGTTCTTGGGACTGAGCAGTGATGTTACAGAAAGCAAGACAGCATCCTGGCCTTACCTGTGAGGAAAAAGCTATAAACAGACAATTACATTATGGCAAACTTTTAAGCAGAGCATAGCGAGAGTGTTTGGGAGCACAGAGGAGGAAGCAACCAACTAGACCTGGGGGAATCAAGAGGCTTTGAGATGCTATATCTTGAACTCCCCAGGAGTTCAACTTTCCAGGAGAAGAAGGCCAGTGATGTTTGCTGGCTCTGCCAGCTAACCTTCCTTGTCCATCATGCAAAGCACTGTTCTGCAGGGAAGCCCTCCTGGATGTCTTATCCCAAATGGAATTCCTTTGTCGTATGTTCTCTCGGTTCCTTGCTCTCTTCCATCAGAGGTCTTATCTCAGTGTTTAATTATATATTAAACAGTGTTATTTAATACCTTAATTGAGATTAATATCTTCTCCACCATTATACCCAGCTCCATCAAGGAAGAGAGGTAGCAGGTGTTACTCACATTATCCCCATGGAACAACACAGTGAATTGCACATAGTGCAAACCCAGTAAATGTTGAATGAATGAGTGAGTAGACTTGCAAATCATGTCATTTAGGTGGCTGCCTTCCCTGCCTTCATAATAGGATGGCCAAGTTTATATTCCCTGTCTTAGATGTTGTTAAAGGAAAAAATCTCTTCTTACACTGCCCTTCCCCATCTAAATTTACCATATAAATTATATAGCTGTTGCCTTTTGCCTAACATAGATAACATGATACAGAACACTTTTAGATGAATGATTTTGTTGGTTAAAACGCAGAAGAAAAATACTGGTTAGTTTTTACATGGGTCCAACTATAATGCCTGAAAACTATAGTGCCTGAAATTCCTTCTGAAACTGTTAGTAAATTACTATTGGTGGTGGGGTCGGCATTTATTAAGTGCTTACTCTATATCAGACTTTATGTTATCCCTTCAATTTATACTATCACATTTTAATTCTACCACAACATGACTTTGATATGCTGTTAGTCCCATTTTACAGAGAAGAATGCAGAAGTCTAGACAAGTCAAATGGTATTTCCTGAGTTCTCAGTTAGTGGGCGGCAGAACTGGATGTCTATTCCAGGTCAGTCTCTCCTCCAAAGCCATTTTTTTCTCACTGTACCCACTCCCTTATCCTCCGTCCATTGCTCTGAATCCTTAGGACACATTTATCTACATATCAACTATTTTTGGAATCCAAATTTGCCAGTTAATTTCCATGCTATCAGGGAGATGATGTGTCAGTTGCAAACACACACCAAAAATTTAAGAATACTCATTAATTTGATTGACAAGAGTGAAATTTCTTATTCTAAATAGGGATAACATTAGGCAAAATTGTTCAAAAGTAGTGGAAATATTGTTTTTATTGATTAATTGGTTGGTTTGGGGAGAAATTATCCTTTGTTTACTCTGAAGTAGGGAGCATTTCTGATTAGTTCCTTTTGTCAACGTATATTAAATATCAAAGGAGCTGCTGCTAATTCTGACTTGGTTTTGGAACTGCCACAGATGGACCCACTGGTAGGAGAGGGGCTTACTGCTAGTTCACTAGTAGAGAATGTAGTACTGGATTGAATTAGAATCAAGTCTTCTTTTCAGTCTGCTTGTTCACTAACACGAGCGCAGACAATGTGAGGAGACCCTCTGTGCCATTCGTAACAGAAAGCAGGGAGAAGTGCCACTTTTGTGTAGCTTCCAACATGAAGATTGACTTTTACAGTTTCTAAATAGAGTTCTTCCCTTCTAAAAAAAATGCTGCAATTATAATAACTTAAATATTACAAGCCCAATTTTATCTCACCTAAATCTAGAGGGTTAATAAATGTTTTCAATGTGGTTTATTCTAGAAGCTTTGAGAATCTGGTCACATAATTTGCACTAAAAGCATTTAGCTTTGTGAAAGCCACACCAAACTTGCCATTATTAACTACATAAATAGAGAGGGCAATTTGCTAATGGGGTTCCATTTATGGCAGTTTATGGATTGCCTAACTTTGCCCAATTAACTCAGGCACTTCCAAATATGAACCGGTCAATGTAAAACACTGAATGGTTTTAATTCAATAGAAAAACACATTACCTATTTGGATGTAAAGAAACAGGAACCTTACATCCCAGTGCCTTTACTCTACAGACCAGGTACTACTGATACAAAGTGGGCAGAGCAACAACGAGAAAAATATCCTGCTGGGATAAAACATGCACTCTAGTGGGAGAAACAAGCAATACTTAGAGAAGGATTTGGAGGAAAATGCATTCCAGGCTTAGGAACAATGGGAAGGAAGGAAACCTGTCACATTCCAGGAACGTGAAGAAGAATAGTGGGCCTGGAGAACCAAGAGCCACCAAATGCTTGTGAGATGAGGCTGGAGAGGCGGGCAGGAACTAGATCATGCAGAGCATTACAGGGAAGTCATACATTCCTTATTTCACTAAACGCCAAGCATCTGCTATGAGGTGCTATTCTGGGATAAAGAAGTGAACAAAGCCAGTGATGTCCTAGGAAGGCAGATAATTAACACGAAGCAGACAAATATAAAATATGTCAGGTAGTGATAAATGTAGTGAAGAAAACAAAACAGACAGAGTGAGGTGGATAATGACTGGGGGAAGGGTTACTAGTTTATAGAGAGTAGTTGGTAGGATAAGGTGGTGTGTACATCAAAATCTAAGGGAAGTGGGCCTCGTTTAAGGGTTTTAGCCTTTCTTCCTAAGAGCAAGTGCTAAGTCATTGAAGGATTTTAAGTGTTGAGGTGACATTATCAGAATACCATCTGACTGGATCATTCAGGCTATAGGATACAAAAGAGACTAAGAAAGAGTAGAAACAGGAAACCATTGAGGGTATTACTGCAGTTTTCTAGAGGGAGATGTGGTGGCTCAGACCACATAGGATACGTGGCTCAGTGTGAATGGATTTCATCACTGAAACTGGTTCTTATTTCCATGTGGTTCTAAGTGCCATTTTTGAAAAAAATTCTGAACTAGGAGTAATGAGGAATGATTGCAAGTCTTTGTCTGTTTGACCTCAAGCCACTTTTCTGCTTTATGCCTTCTCTATGAAAGTAGGTAGTGGTTCCAGGTTTTTCTACTTCTTAAGGCTTTTGAAAAAACAGATATGTAGGAAAGACTTGAAATATGTAAAACTGCTACATCATATAAGGAGTGGGCAGTTGGTATTCTATAATAGGTAGGATGAACACTACTAATCCTGTTTACCAGGCTAGAGAACATGGAGCTCTTTATTCTTCTAAATTTCTAGAGCAAACACAGGGACAATACGAAGGAACCCACAATTCAGATTATTTATTTTTCACTTTAGATAGTATGTGAATGTGATTTAATATTAATTGACATATTGATTGAACTCAACTGACAAAAAGTCTATATTTTAACAATATCTAAACCATGGCCTATTACCAAATGCTAAGTTTAGGTACAGAACTAAGTGTCCAGATCCATTCCCAGGTCTCAGGTTCTGAATCTCTTCATAACCCCTCCAAGAGCTCCCTTTTGAACTCTCAGAGAAGCTTCACTGATGGAAAGGGGAGAAAAGTGAATCTCCAGGCTCCTTCCAATTTGCAATCCCAGTACCTTCCTTTGCATAACCCATAGTTTGGAACATCTCCCTATGCTCAGTCAAGAAAGAAAAAAAGTCTTATGTCTTATGTACATGTACAGTGGGTAAAAACCACGTATGTACTGTTGGTAAAAGCACACAGCTCCAGGTGAAGAAACAACCAATGGAATCCTCGTATGCAAATCATATGGATGCATTTGAATAAAATTGAACCATTATCTTAGGAACCTCTAGTTTCCAAGTTGATATGAAACATATATAATCCTTGTCTGTACCATATTATTTTGCTTCTAACAGGAGTTATACCATCCATGTGTTTATTTCCATGACGCTTAAAAACGATAAGCCAAAACAGTTCATTTTTCTTTGTTTTGTCCATAGGTGTTCTTCCAATTACCTCTGCCCATTTATTAAAATATACATTTTGGACATGTGGGTTTATTCACTTTGTGGTGAGGTTATATTCTGTGGATATCTGACCTTTGTTAATCATTGTGTGGCCAAATGAAATCAAACACATGCATTGAAGCAGTGAATAAGTCGTGGGGTTAGCGAGTTTGATGGAATCACAACCAGCAATTTAAAAATGTGACTGAATTTTTCCCACAATTAAAATCTTTCATTATGCTACTTCAAAGCTAATTTCTTTCTTGTTTTTTTTTTTCTGAATAGTTGCTTCCATTAATCTCACTCTAGGTAATGATGGTAATGATACAATTATATGTAATCATTGCCTGAATTCAATATGCAACACATCAGTCCCTTTGTGTGGTGATCGTACACTCTCTGCAGTCCTGGGATTTGGAAAGTTTCCATCATGTTATGCCAAGATCAGATTCAAAAGTCTCTGACATTTTGCATAACATCAGTCAGTCGTGTGTTCCAACTGTCCCTTTTAGTGATTGGGCAAACTCATCCATCTGACTGCTGCTGGTGGAAGCTAGGGATGAAGGCATGAAGCAAGATAAGCTGGACTGGCCTTTTACATAGTTTCCAAAACACTTAAAATATTCAGAAAAAAAAATTAGGAGCAAGAATTTGTAAAGGATCTTCAAGTGTACAGGTGGCTAATCCGCTTAAACTACTAATGACACAAATCATAGTCTAAGTGAACTTATGTTTTTATGCAAAGTTAATATTTATTTTAAAAGTTTAAATCTGTTTTTCTAATATTTATAGCTAATCTTACCAGTGGTTATCATTCAGGATGAATCTGTTTCTCAAAATCCTGATAGGTAGATGTGTGCTTCCAATTCCTATTTTTTTTACCACTATGCAGATGCCATTTTGATTCTTATGTTCCAAAGACAGATTTTGTTCCACACACTTACTTATTCAAATTAGTTCAATTAAGGAATAATATTGTCTGTATGTTCCAACACAATAGAATTGAACATGTTCATGTCTTCTAAGAATTAAATAATAAACTATGCAGGTAGCATTAAGATAGTAGCTTATCTTATGCTTAAATTTTTTTCTTTGCCTTTCCCATTTTGTTTCCTTCTTAGAATACATTGGAGGGCTTTCTTGGTCTCTGGTAAATATTTACAATTCATAATTTTACTCTGGCCTGTTAATTTGATTTATTGATCATTTCTCTTTAAAGGACAATGTCAACACAAGAGTGAGGCATGGGTTGCAGTGGGTGGAATGACAGTCATATTGAGCCCTGCTATGTTTTGGATATGGTTTGTCCCCATCAAAACTCATGTTGAAATTTTGATTCCCAGTTATGACAATGTTGGAAGGTGGGGCCTAGTGGGAGGTGTTTGGGGGTGGTACCTCATGGAATGAGTAATGCCCTCTCTCAGGAGTGAGTAACTTCTCGTTGTGGCAGGAATGGATGAGGTCCTGAGACAGCAGGTTGTTAAAAAGAGTCTGACTTTGTCAGTTTCTCTCTCTTGCTTCCTCTCTGGCCATGGGAAATAGCATAATAGTGTTTGTTTTCTCCACTCTCCCATCTCCCTCTCTTCCTTTCTCTGTTGTCCACTTCTTAAATATATACTGTTCAAGTACTATTATATTTTCAAATCACGATCTGATAAGGTGGAAGGGATTCAAGGTAAATTAGAAAAGCTCCCTGTATTCACATTCACAGAGCCCCTTCTACTCCTGGGAAGAGATAAGATATGCACTTGGTCACTACTAAAAAGTAGGAAGCACTGTATTATATTAGAAAGATTCTTATATGGGAGTAAACAAAATCCAAGCCTTCTCCTCAAGGGCTAACTGGATGTTCCTGTATCAACATCAATATTGAAGACAATTCTGCTTCAATGTAAAGGGGTACAGGACAGTCTACTGTGACCTACACTCAGAGGGTCTTTGATGTCCACACTGTCAATGTTATACAACCGAGCTATTCCTCAAATCTTAGGAATTCTACTTCTGAGGCTTCCTCTGGCACTCTCTTTCACTTCCTTCAGAATATGATGGCAGTGCATGCTGATCTCCTCATTTCCATCCTTCTTGATGGTCAGGGCACACTTAACACTTACTCCTGTTAGGTTATTCAGCCAACTGGCCACATATCATTGTGGCTACACGTAATAGGGCATTTTCACATAGCTCACCAGAATCCCTTTTAGGCCAGCCTACCTCTGTTCCAACAGAACTCTACATGACTGGCTAAGCCCTTATAGCATATCAAGTCTGAGCTTCGAAAGGATTTTCCTAGTTTGGGGGCACTGCTCAATTTCCCTTTGTTTACCAAAGAAACACAACAGTATCTGGCAGTATTTGATTAGTCCACCTGTGGTTTTTGGAATTGAGGTAATGTTACCCCTACTTTGTCAGCCCACACTTCCCAAAACAGTGTCCAAAACCCAGAAACACCAAATTAAGATCCCATCACCATCCATAAGATTCAGAACCCCATTAGATCCACAAATTATTATGGACAATTTCTATTTCTTGTGAACTGTGCAAAAGTTTCTTGAGGAGCACAAATCAATTGAGCATGATCCATGAGCTCCTTTGCATATCACCCTAAGAATGCCATGAGCTTACATGGGGTGGATTTAAGAGGGTTGGAGATAAATCAACTAGTATCCAGGGCTGAGGTCTTAACAGGAATCCTCCTCACTGAGAGCTTGCCTTGATCATATTTCTGCCAATCCCTCAGTCCTTCTCTACAATTTCCCCTTGACAGCATGAAAACATGGGCTGATCTGTGTATTCTGACTTGATGTCATTCTTGTCACACCCAGAACACAGATCATCTTTTCCCACTCCCATATTCTTCCAGGATCCTTTTCCATGGTAGTTCTACTCCTTAGGTTGATCATCATCTTCTTTCACTCTTCCCAACTACAGAGTGTAATTAATCTAGCCACTTACTGGGACCCACATCTCCTGACCCTCCCCCATAACCTTTACTCTTTAAATGAATATACTGCTCAAACCTATTCCAAAAATTGAGTGTAGCAAAGACTTCAATTTAGTCTGATTTGCCCAAACAATATGGATACATCTTGAATCACTCTTTTGGAACATTAGCTAAATATTTTTTAAAGGCTAGGCTAGTCGTTAGCTAACTTTTTCTTTTTCCTTTTTTTTTTTTTTTTTTGAGAGTAAGTCTTGCTCTTGTCCCCCAGGCTGGAGTGTGATGGTGTGGTCTCAGCTCACTGCAACCTCCACTTCCCAGGTTCAAGCAATTCTCCTGCCTCAGCCTCCTGAGTAGCTGGTATTACAGGCACCTGCCACCATGCCCAGCTAATTTTTGTATTTTTAGTAAAGACAAGGTTTCACCATGTTGGCCAGGCCGGTCTCAATCTCCTGACCTCAGGTGATCCGCCCACCTTGGCCTCCCAAAGTGCTCCCAAAGTGTAGCTAACTATTTTTAAAGTGTGTAGATACTTTTGCAAATAAATGTAGTTAACGTATATACATACAATTTAAAAATGTATACTCAGACTATTTCTCAATATTGTGGGCTGTTAGCAAGCAGAATTATTTTAAAAAGCAAGTTTTAAAACTCAAAGCCAAATATTGTTACTAAAATGTTTCATGGGAATTGGCAGTGGTACCTAGAGTTTTAATGCCTTTACAAACCAAGAGTGTATAGGTATTGTGGATGGAACATGTGACTGTTCAAGGGAAACCTGACAAACCATACTAACAATGGATTATTGCACTCAAAGAAAGATGGGAAACAAAAGAATCCAGAGAACAGTGCTTTTGTTTTCACGACCCTTCAGTTGTCTTTGACTGTTCTTTCTTTTGGCTTTTCTGCTTTGTAAGAGTCTTTGATTCAAGGCTGTTTCATGATCCACTGAACTATAAGGAAACCATGGGTCTAAATTGCCCACTATTTCCTTTAGTGCACTGTTAGATGTAGTCAGTCCTGGGAACTTGTTTAATAAAGGAGTTTTGAAAATGTTCAGGGATCTTCTTTTTTTTTTTTTTGGTATATTGTATAATTAACAATGACTTTTGCCTTGAGGTCAACATACTTCCAATTTTTCCTAAATAAATATTTACTGAAAAGTGTAGATGTGCTGTAGGCACAGCTAGTGTGAACTAAGCTCTGAGCTAAATGACTTAGGCACATCATTGTAATTTTCCCAGTAACTCTGAAAAGCCAATAGCAATATTTTAATTTTATAGACAAGAATATGGAAGCTTGGAGTGATTGCAGTTTGTCATATGTTTATGTTAGAATTTGACTTACCCAGGTATGTGTGACTCTAAATCCAAATTATTTTTAAGACCTTAGGCTCTTTCAGGTCTTTTATCTAAAAATGCTACAAAAAGAAGGAAATGGGGAGATGTAGATAAAGATTTAAAGTAGCAGATATGTAGGATAAGCAAGTCTAGGCATCTGATGCACAACATGAGGACTATAGGTAATAACAGTGCCCTATATATGAGATTAATGCTAAATGAGTAGGTTTTAGCTGCCCTTGTCACTAAAATAAACAAAAAAAGGGTAACTGTATGAAATGATGGAGATCTTCATTTGCTTCACTATAGTAATATTTTTACTATTTTTATGTATTTTATACCATCACATGTTATACCTTAAGTATATACAATTAAAAGTTATTTAAAATATAAAAATAAAACATAAAGAATGCTGCAAATAACAGTAGCTCTTTTTTGTAGTTATAAAAAGATATGGATATTTAACATTCCCATTGCTAAGCTTCCACACTAAGCAACAGTAACTTATTAATATTACCCAGTAAATCCTAAGTACAGAAAAGATTAAGGCATTGTGCATTTATTTTTATTAAAATAATTTATGTAAGTTTTAATTCAAATTAGGCTCAGCTTTAGGCACCTAGAATATTAATTCAGAAAGTAGCCTTATTAGATTAGCTTCAAATGCACAGAATTTTGGTCAAGGACATTGAAGTAAACATTTTATCTTTATTAGCCATCAATTGGCAAGCATTTATTGAGTACCTTCTAAGCACTGGGGAGGAGCTTGGACCTGAAAGAAATTTCCATCTGTTGGAGCCATATGACTAAATCACACGAAACAACTTGAGAAAGAAGCAAGAAAGTTCATAATTAAGTGCTAATTTGCTGTAGAAATTCAGGGAAGCAGTAGGTTATTGAAAGCATCAGGATTCAAGAAAAATGTCATGGAAGACATTTCATTTTAGGTAGCCTTCAAAAGATATGGGGCAGCTTTGGGTAATTGGAGAAGCATGAAAAATTCATAAGAAATAATGAGTAGAAAGACTTGTGTTGGGAAGTAATGAATGAGGTTGGATAAATTGACGCATCAGGTTCCAGAGAATACTTATAATAAGTTGTCTGTTTTCCTGCATAGACTGTCAGCTGAGTAAGGCTAGGGACCCTATGCTTCTTCCTCATCTGTGTCTTCAAGCGCAGTGCCTAGCATGGTATAGGAGCTTAATAAATACAGGGTAGCTCCTCAGTATATAAAGGCAGATGAATCTGGATTTGATGTAGTAGGAAATAGAAAATGCAAATTAGAAAATATAGAAATAAATAGCTATCTGATTTCAGTGAGCATAGTTGTTAATATTACTGGTCTCATGTTGCTGAAAAGACTCTTAATTTGGGGTAAAATTTCCTTCAATCACTTATGTATGCATAATAATGGAGGTGAGGAGATAATGGGCCATGATTGGATAGTAGAAAAGTTACTTTCTCTTAGCTGCAGACTCACATAAATGCTAGTGATTTGTTTGCATTTGCACTCCTGAGCACACTTCAACAGAAGTGAAGTCGAATCTATTTTGACTAGAAGAAGAACAAAAGCCCTGAGTGGAAAGTGTATTAAAGATAAATGTGACATATTCATTCAGTCAGTCAGCTGAAGTTGAGAAGAAGATCCACAAGCTCAGTCAAGCCTTCAAATGACTGTAGCCCAGACTGACAGCTTGACAGCAGCCTCAGGAGAGACCATGAGGGAGAAGTACTGGGCTAAGCTGTATTTAGATCCCTGGCCTTCATAGACTGTGAGCTAACACACGTTTGCCGCTTTAAGTCAGTCAACACATCTGACTGGAAGGCACTGAGTGCTCAACACTGTGGGGATATAGAGAAAAGCCTTGGCTTCTGCCCTTAAGGAACTCAGCTGGGTGCAGAAAAAGACACATATGTACAAACACATACTGTAAGAGGCAACCGGAAGAGGATTGAGGGCAGTAGAGGCTTCACAGCAGAGGTGACATTTGAGTTAGGTTTTGAAAGATGAGCATGCTTTGCACAGGTAAAGAGGTTTGGGTATCCTGCATTAACTGTTCTACTTTGTTGAGGATATTGACAAAATTACAGAAATGAAATAGTTGAAAAATAAGGCTAATAGTAATTACAACAACAATAATAAAATACATTTACTTCATGGTTTTAACAGTATTTCCATATACATTAATTCATTTGATCCACACAAGAACCAAAGGAGATTGGCTGAGCAGTTATTGTTGTACCCATTTTGTCAGTAGGGAATCTAAGGTTCAGAGAGACCAAGTGGCGTGTCCAAAATAATGATTCTGCTTTATGGAAACAAATACAAAGTATAAATCAATGTATAAAATGAAATGACCTTAATAAAAACCATGCTAGAAGAGGTCAGAAGGAAGTGAAATCAATTCTGTAGAAATTTTGAATAAAAACTGCATATGGTGTGAGTGATGCATTTGTCACAAAGGCTGGGTGTTTTGTCTCAAGGGGCTTCTCGGGTAGGTGAATTTACTGGTGTCAGAAGTCAGGTGCTCAGCTTTGTAAGCTCTCAAACCTGACTTAGTCAGCATATACGAAGGTCTGCCTCTCCAGGGAATAGTCATATTATTAATAGCAAAGTGCATAGACGGATTTATTAATTTGCAATGAGAAATGTCACTGCCATGTACCCCAGAATATTCTGTTGGCACAGCTAGTACACTCATTCCCTGTAGGCAGATATTTGAGGGAAGCTCTATTGTAGTGAAAGAGAAAGCTGTTGTTGCCCATAGACTCATACCTGAGAGTTGGCTAGATACATTTAAGAGGTGTTTCTTGGCTTAGAGGTGGGATGGGGAGATTCAAGCACTTTTTCCTGTGTTTAGAGATCACCCTGCAGGAACATCAGTGCCCTGGCCAAGGCTCACTTGTCCCCCAACATAAGTTTGCTTCTATGACCCTCTGTATTAGTTTCCTAGGGTAGCAAAATACCAAAAACTAGGTGACTTGAAACAGCAGGAATTTATTCTCTCACAGTTCTGGAAGGTAGAAATTTGAGATCAAGGTGTCAGTAGGGCCACACTCCTTCTGGAGGCTTTAGAGAAGAATCCTGTTTTGTCTCCTCCAGATTCTGGTGATTTTGGCAGTCTTTGTCATTCCTTGGCTTGTAGCTACATCACTCCAATCTCTGGCTTAATCTCAGGGGGGCTTCTTCCCTCTGTGTGTGTCCTCTCTTCTTTCAAGGACACCAGTCATTGGGTTCAGTGCCCACTGTAATCCAGGATGACCTAGTTTTAACTTAATTACATTTGCAAAGACTCTGTCTCCAAATAAGTTTATATTCACAGGTACTGAAGATTAGAATGTAGAAACACCATTGTACGGGGCACAGTTTAACTCACCACATGCTTTCTTCCCATGCTTCCATTATTGATCAACCTCACTCCCACCCTATCCTGGGTAGACCCATTCTGCACTCAAATGTTAATTTGACCTGAAAACCTCTTTGCTTATAACTGACCTGGCTTTTTATATCAATGACTTCAGGGAAAAAGAGAGTAACAGAAGTTAGAACAGTATTCCCCTAAATAACTTGGTTTTTATTTATTTTTGTTTCCAAATGCCAAATCTTTCCTCTATTTCTAAACCTACAGATGGAAAATCTCTGCAATCACTACTCTATTAAGAATCCACTGTTAGTGATGTGAGCTTGTGGGGATTGATAATAGTTTGAGAAGCAACCTCAGGGTTGGGAGGAGGGAAACTTAGGAGGTGGGCTTTGGCCCTCCCTCAACCCACCCAAACTAAAAACAGTAATGATATTCTTTGACAGGGTAATGCTGTTTTATTTTTCAATCTTCTGTCAAATGGAAACAAAAGGATCTTTGCCAAGTATTTTACTTTTTATGTACAATACAAATTGCTACAAATCAAACTTTAAGGGAAGCTTCCCAGCACTCCCTTCTCACCAGATTAGTACCTCCTAAACCTCTGCCCTATAGACATTCTGCCACCTTCTGTTGTTTAATCACTGCATTCTGAACTGATTTGTAGTCTCTCTCTGTATTTTATTTTATTTTATTTTGATACAGTCTCACTCTGTTGCTCAGGTTGGAGTGCAGTGATGCAGTCTCTGCTCACTGCAATCTCTGTCTCCTGGGTTCAAGTGATTCTTAGCTTCCCAAGTAGCTGGGATTACAGGTGTGCACCACCATGCCCAGTTAATTTTTTGTATTTTAGTAGAGAGAGGGTTTCACTATATTGACCACGCTGGTCTTGAACTCCTGGCCTCAAGTGATCCTCCTGCCTTGGTCTCCCAAAGAATTGGGATTAGCAGCGTGAGCCACCACACCTGGCCAGCTTCTCTTTTAGAGGCTGTTTTTATTTACAACATTTCTAAATTCATGGTGGGAGGGTACCTATAGTTATACCATTTATTAAAGTGAGAAAATATTCATGTGAGGAAATCAGATATTACCAAGTATAAAACAATACAATTATAAAAAATGAGAGGCAAGACATAATAAGCATGGCTGAAGAAAAAGTACAGTCATTAGAAAGAAATGTACCCTTTAAGAACAGTCCTCTGATATAGAAGCCAGGAGAGTTTGCCACTCCTATAGGCTGTGACCTTGTTCACGTGACTTTCCCTCTCTCCTCAACCTGCTTTTCTCTAAAAGGAGGTATTGATAAGTTAATGGCTGGTGTGTGGGGAGTCAGATTTCTTAACGTTAGGGAAGTTACAGATAACTACAAGGCAAATCAAAAGAACCCTGGGGTATTGGATTTGAGTCAGAGACATTAGTGTGAGCTTTTATCAGTTTAATATATATTCAGAAATAATTGTGCATGTGTGTACACATGGGCAGTTATACATATATAGATTTGTATGTGTATATATATTTAATACATACACATTATATATTAAGTGTATATATTACAATATCTAAATATTATATGCTATAAAAATATAAAAATATAGGTAGAATATATAACTATATATTGTATATAAATATATATCATATATAATATATATTTTATATAATATTTACATATAAAATATATGGGATATATATCTTTATATCTATGTGTCTGTATATATAATATAATATAATATAACATAATACAATACAATATAACATATATCCCAGCTTTTCCATTGAGAGAGACTAGAAGCAGTGATGTTCCAGTAGCAACAAGTATATCCAATGCCTCAATTTTGGTTTTTAAATACCATTCTCTAGTAAAAGGGATATTGGCTCCTTGGAGAAATAACTGACTCTAAAACTGGGTTAGAGAAAGTATGAGATGAGCCAAGAGCATCCTGTAGTCCCAGAGAGCCAGGGACTGCTCAAAACAAAAAAATGCCAAAGGTACCCTGGAGACAATATGAAAGAGCTCCCAATTGTCAGAGCTGAAACAAATCTGAGCAACAAAATAGGATGGGATTGGATTACAATTCACAATATAAAATAAATATACATGAGTACGTGCTGATATAAACAATTGAATAAATGAACAAATGGGGAAGAAGTCATAAATCTTTCTTATAGATATATTCCAAATAATATAAGTGTGGGCAGGACTTAGTGACTCATATGCAAACAATAGAGCATGGAAAGGGGATAAAACAGTAACAGAACACCCCAGAAGCCACTGGCTTGATCAGTGATCAAGGTTAACATCACTAGTAACAAGTCATGTTAATAGCATGTCCCCCAGTATGATATGATGAGGAGAACACTTCACTTCTATGGAGTTCTTCCCAAAAACCTGTATCTCCTGCCTGATATGAGAAAAAGGTGAACAAATCCACACTAAGGGACATTTTGCAAAACGCCTGGCCAGTACTCCCCAAACTGTCAAGGTGGTGAAAAAGCAAGACTGAGAAACCATCACAGTCCAGTGGAGACTAAAAAGATATGATGATGGGATGCAATGTGTGATTCCTGATTAGATCCTGAGGAAACAATAGGACATTAGTGTAAAAAACTGGTGTAAAAAAATGTTGAAATCCAATAAAAATCTGAATTTCAGTTAGTAGTAAAAAAATAATAATAAAGGAAGGTGTTGGTCCAAATGGCTCAGTCCCTTCCGGTATAGGATTCCACACTGTTCTATAACCCAGCAGGGTCTCAAAGGAAGTGTTGTACGCAAGGACCCAGTGTTATTCTTTCTAATTTATTTTATATTTTTAAAATGCTTCTTTTTACATATACTTCTTTTTACATTCTTAAAAATATAGGGAGTTGCAGCAGGCTTTGCTGCAGATAAAGGGACCATGGACACCCTGCCACCAGTTACAGCAAGAAGAAGAGAGGGTAGAGCTGAGTAAGAGATGGGACTGGACTGTGGCTCTCAGGAGAATCACATTCTAGTCCTGCCTGCCTAATGGCATATGACCTTGGGCAAGTCACATTTCTATGCCCAAATTTATCTGTAAAGTAAAGAATTAGGTTAGTAATTATCTAAGTTTCTAATTGTAACACTGTATAATTCTACTGGTTCTCTGTATGTACAAGTGGTAGAAGTCTTAAGAATAGAAGATACAATTTCTAGAGCAGATAAAGGATGCTCTTTTGTACACCACAGTGACACCTTCTGGGGGAATCAAGGGTTGCCTCCCTGGGTTGGGTAGCCTGGAAAATCAGATTTTATGTGGGAGGAAACCATTTAGACTCAATTTTGACATCAGCTGTAAAGTTGGGTAAAGCAGGTTGAAAGGAATGAATTTCGTAGGTCTCTTTTCTTGCCTCTCATTCTCTCCTGCATTATCTAGCATCATTCTGACACTGACAAAAATTAACTGTGGCATCCTAAGCAACTTACTTAACCTCCATGGGCCTCAATTTCTTCAGTTATAAAATGGAGATTAAAAATAATTACTTTGTATTACTTTATGAGAATAATTGAACACATACAATTCCAAGACTGCAATCTGTTATGTAATCCTTTATTTGAGTGTTAGGACTTTTCCAGCCTCCTGAAACTCTTCAATTATTAATGACAGTAGTCCCTTCATGTTGGATGATAGAGAGGGTTGAAGAGCAGAATCTTGGCTGCTCATGTCTTTGAAAAACCCTGAATTGTGTCAACAGGATAGATTTACTTTTTCCTAATATGAGAACTTAAAGGAATTTTGGACATAGTTATAGTTGTTTGCTGAACATGATTTATGTTTATGTTCATAAATCAGCAACATTCAAGTCACTGGGAGTTTTTTTCCAGCTGCCACTGGGGGTACCAAAGTGGGAGCAGGAAAACACAGTTGTGGCTATGGCTGGCATTCAATGGTAGCCCTAGTGGAAGATGGATAACTGGGGAGTATTTTGAACGTGGGTAGATTTGTGTTAAATGGATTTTCAAGAAAGGTTCTTCTCCAGCCAGGGCTTCTACCTTAGCACATGGTCTTAGTTTATTGTAAACTATATTTTCAATTATAAACTGCCCAGCCTTTCCCTCTGTACATCTGCCCTCCTTTTTGTGGCCATGAGAAAGGAGGAATCTGTTGCAAGGCACCACTGGGACCCAGGTGTCTGGCAGAACAACTGGTCCCAGGAAGGCTGTGGCTCCTTTACACATTTAAAATCTATAAGGTACTTTTAAACCCCATACTCAAAGTTTTTATTCTGAGCATTGAATGAATGTATTGTTAGCAGCTTAAAGTTAATTTTGGAAGAAAACTTCAAACAAACAAGAAATGAAAAAAGCTATTTCATAAGTGCATACACTAAAGCATATTGACACATATAACTTAAAACAATTTTCAGAATTTAATGAATATGGTCTTTAAGATGTGAAACATCCTTAAAGTTATATACATATGTCTAATAAAGGACCAGAAAGTGGAATCATATGTGACCTTGAAGCCTTTCTGTTCCCTGTTATCTGAACAAAGCAAGTGCCTGGAGAGTTCCTTAATAAATATGAACTTTCCCTCTTCCTTCATTTCTCCATTTCAACCAAAAACTGTGCTATCAGAGCTCAAGCTCAACAGGACATCTGGAGAAGAGTGATAGAGCCAAATGGAGTCTATGATCACCCCAAATTCTTAGAGAAAGGAGAAACAGAAAGACCGATCAGTCTTGTGCCATCTTCATAAAAAACAACTGCAGTTTTTGTGTTCTGAAGTTGTTCACATGATTAGATTCAGCCTTCTACAAACACTTACTGAGCACCAGGTGCCTGGTATGCCATTAGGAAATGAGTCTATATCTCTCTTGAGAGGAGATGCAGATAAGCAACTAGGGCTAAACTGGAGCTCACAAATGTTCTAAGAGGGTGAAGTAGGAAGAATTAATTGCAGTGGAAATAATTAGCCCAAAATTCATGAATGACGGGATATTTGACCTGGATCTTGAAACAAAAGTAGTATTTTGGGAGATAAGATCAGGTACAATGACAACATCAAGTTATGAGAGCCTGGAATCGAAGGCTACAATATAGTCAGGTGAATGTCTTGGGACTGGATGGATCCACAGTTGTCAACACATGGGCTCCTTGCATCAGAAATAAAAGTTAATAAAAGTTAGATTCCATAATTTTTAATTCTGTAAATGTGGGATGGGACCAAGTATCTGCTGCACAGTCAGATTTGGGAGGTACCCCACAGGGATAGGAGATATTTACCGAAAGTAACATTAAAAAGGCACTTTGTACTTTTACAAGCTGAGGGATCTTGGTAGTCCAAGGAGTATGGATTGTATCCTGTAGATAAAACAGAGATTTTTCTTTACTTGATTGCATAGTATTTTTTGGTAAAGTTGGAATATTTCCACTTAGAAATATTTAAAGTATTCTTTTAAGATCCTCCTCATCAAGAACATTTAAAAATGCCAGTTTGTGAACTTAAGGATGAAAACTTCTGACTAAAAGGCAACAAATACAAAGACACACACACATACACACACATGCAATGTGGAAGTTTACTGTTATCCACAATAGTTATAAGACTCTTCCAGTACTAATGGATTTCCATCTGACGATGATGTGTTCATGGCAGCGATATGGGATGGGTTATCTACCTTAGGATTGAAGGACCCTAGAGGTCTCTTATCTCTGTCACTGATATGGAGATCAATTCTTCCTGTGCCTCAGTTTTCTCCTATGTGAGAACATCATAATAATGCCTAGTGAGTATCAAATGACCCAGAAAATAGTCATTAAAAAGTATAAAAAGAACTTAAAAATCTAAAAATGGAATATGTAAAACCCAATAGTACATACAGAGGCATATCCAGACAAGTGTTTCAGGGAATGCTTTCTGACTTTATAGTTTTAGGAAAATAATCACATTTTTAATTCGTTTGCAAATATGTATAGACATAGATATAAGTGCATTGTTAAGTAGAGAAATTGTAAATGCCATACTTCTAAACATAAAAGTGAATATGTAATGTAATCATTGATCCAAGAGATTCCATTGTAGAACAGCTGTTTAAGCCTTCTGGAAGACGTTTTTGGAAATATGATTGAGAATCTATTTTGGATTTAACAGACATCTTCTTATATTTTTCTATATTTTTCTTCATTATCATTAAAGGGTATCATCTGCTCTTGGTTTTGTGTTTTAATTTGAATTCACACTCTTACAATAAGGTCACCTATCTTACTCAGCTCTGTGAAACTGAATCTAATTTTAGAATAAATGAAGAAATCAAGGTGTAGGTAACACTCATAAAGTTTAAGAAGGCCTGTGTTGAATTGGGTATCTTCTTGGGCTACTTGGATAAATGATTCCTTTTATTTAATGAAATCTTTTAAGAAGTAATAAAAAATTCAAAATTAATGGCTAGGATCAGCTGAGAGGTAGGAAGTATTCCTCCACAACATCAAGCCATGGATGACTTTTGAATAATCTGAAATACTCTCAGTGTTTGAAAAGACCTGCCATTTTTACTTGAACTTCTTGAAAATGTTGAGCTTCTTAGAAATTGTTTGGTATGATTCTCTTTGCTTCTTTAACTTTGGAAAGAATATTAATTTATTTCTGCCTTGTTGAAGAATGTATCTGCTTCAGAGCTGACCTGATTACCCAGTTGCTTTCAGGGAAGGAGAAGAGAGGAGATTTCTCTCTCTTCTATTTTCCTTTTCTCATTTATTGAGATGATTGTCTACAGAGTTGGTCCTTTTTCTACCCCACTGGCAATTCTTGCTCCCCATTGTTCTACCATGTTCCCCACTGTTCCTGAAAATACAGAATATCAACTCTGTTAAAGATGAGAGTCTTTTTTTTTTGAGATGGAGTCTCACTCTGTCACTCAGGCTGGAGTGCAATGGCACAATCACAACCTCTGCTCACTGCAACCTCCACCTCCCGGGTTCAAGCAATTCTCCTGCCTCAGCCTCCCGAGTAGCTGGGATTACAGGCTCCCGCCACCACGCCTGGCTATTTTTTTTTTTTTTTTTTGTAGTTTTAGTTGAGATGCGGTTTCACTATGTTGGCCAGGCTAGTCTCAAACTCCTGACCTCGTGATCCACCCACCTTGGCCTCCCAAAGTGCTGGGATTACAGGTGTGGGCCACCATGCCTGGCCAAGATGAGAGTCTTAAAAAGGAACCTTTTCATGGCATAGGAAAGGTAGTGGCCTAACTATCTATAGCATGGGACCAAGTCATGTGGTGTTTGTTATATGTGCTTAGATAAGTGAATAAACAAATGTGCTTGGGTAAATAAGTGAATAACTGAATGAACATGTGTGCTCTTTCCCAAGGTTTGGCTTTAAAGGGAAAATAAATTCACAGAATTACAACAAGGTATGAGCAAAATCTTCCACAAATATATAGGATCAGAAAGTAACAGTTCCAAAGCTTGGAAGGGATGACAGGGTGCAAGATTTACAGGCTAACTTTATGACCGGGAGCCTCAGAGCTGTTAGAGCACAGGTGGGCTGGGACCATCCCCCTGAGACCCTGCTCCTCAACCAACTTGTGTGGCCCTCTGGCTAGGGGTGGTCTCATGCTAGGAGCTCATGTGGGTTTGTCCTGTAATTTTCTCTGAAACAGCAGAGGAATACTATATCTGAATTATCCCCTATCCCCCCCAAGGTTTGACTGTGATGGCAGCAATAAAAGTCAGATGGTGTCATCATAATTACATAAATGACATTAGCAGGAAGAATGTTAAAATCATTACTCATCTTCAAGTATTTTTGACCATTCATGAATATGTTAATCAGAATATGACCAGTTCAAGGGAAATGACAAATCAAAGCCTTCTTGTTGATAAATTCCCCAAACCCTTTGATCAGACCCAATGTCCATGGCATGGATAATTGCATTTGGTGGTAAGAAAGGTAGGCTTTCTGAGGTTTAAGGCAGCAGAAAAGTTCATACCTTTTTAACTTTTGTTACTTTGTATCATAGTTCTATTAAGGCAGTTAGGATATTACTTTTTTTTTCTCTGAATTGGATGTCAGCAGACATGAACTCTAGTCCCATATCCCCAATTCTTTTGTTTTCCTTGGCAACAATTTTATTAAAATATAATTCACTTACTGTAGAATTCACCCATTTAACATGTACAATGGTCTTTAGTATATTCACAGAGTTGTGTTCATTCTGACCATTAAAGTGTAGGTATCGCTGCAGATAAATCTGTGAATGAGTTTCCTCATGTGTAAATTAAGAGTAGAGCAATGTATTCTTCACTCTTCCTTTCAGTGATCTGTTTATGCAAAAAAAAAAAAACACTCATTAAATACAGTGAATGTTTATAAGTTACCATTTTGGAAAATCTCTGCTCTCTCGTTTGCGCTCTCTCGCTCTCTTGCCCCACACACACACACATGCACACGCACACACACATGCACACGCACACACACGCACATACACACATGCACATGTGCACACACATGCACACTCACATGCACACTCACACACGCACATCCACACTCTTGTGCACACATGCACACACATGCACATCCACACACACATGCACACATGCACACTCACGGAATGCACACCCATGCACACTCACTCACATGCACACACACACATGCACACACATGCACACTCATGCACATGCACACACACACGCACATGCACACACACACAGAATATTCTTCCCTCCATGATGTCCAACTTAATTTTTCCCTGTCATGCTACATCCAGGTAGTCTCACCTTCACTTTCTACCTAAAATTGCCCCCCACAGGCTCCTTTTCATGAATGCCTGCTATATTCTTTCTATCATGAACAAAGATTATCTTATGAATATGGGCTAATATAGTTTTATAGACATATTTTGTCCCTGAGCAAGAATATAAGCTTGCTTCTTTCAATTGCCACTTGTACTCAATAGGTATTTGTTGAATCTCTTACATGAGATTACTGAGAAATATATTTGCTGTCTTAAAATGAAGACAAGTTCTTACTTTGCCAACTGACAGAGTCGGCTTATAAATGATCAATATTTTCACAATGAAAGCACTTTAGGAATCACCAGGACAGAGAGTAATTGTTAAGATAGTAGCTGTGTACCTTAAAGTAAAGGTATTATTGCCCAGTAGCACGTGATATTGGTTGACTAGCATTGCAAGTACAAAATTTCCTATTGCTCTCCAATGGGAGTTAATAATTAAACCTGTACAAAGCTCTTTATAACAAACATATTGTCATGGTAAATTCCATTGGCCATGGTGGATTATATCTGTGATAGCCTCCGATCAGTGACTAACATTGTTTGGGAAATTTTCTGGTTAAGCAACATATGGTGACTTCTGATAAGGACTTATCTAATATCATAGATGGCAGAAATCCATTTTTCAATACAATCAGGTACATGTATATTGTATTAAAAAATCTTTCCAAGTGTTTTTACCTTGACTTTGCTAATATAGTTAGAAATTTCTTTTTTCTTTTTTATTGAACAAGGAATAGTGCTTCTTATTGATATCCTAGCTACAGTAGCCTAACCTGAACGATAGCAATAACTTCTTGGAACATGTTTGTGTTATCATTAACTGATCTAAAAGGCCATAGCTTGGGGCTTCTTTTCCTGTAAGCTCAATGGGACAACTATCAGTACACAGAAATACAGACAAGCTGTGGGAGTTTCCTTCCTTCCTACCCATAGACAGTATAATAAAAATGTAAATACTGTAGTAAACTATGATAAGACGAAATGCAATAACAAACATATTTTTCCTCTTCACACCAGGTTTCATGTTTTCTCTAAGAAAGGATGAGATGAGGCTGATCCTCATAAATATTTCTGAGGCTTATGTCTTTTTAGACCTATCGATTTGTATACGTGAAACAGTGCCCATATGAATGGTTGCTGTTCATGCTTCTATTCCTTATCTACCATGAGGCACAGAATTCTTGTTTAATCTTTATTATGTTGGACTTTGTCACCTCTTCCTATCCTCTACCTTCTCAGCCCAATGCATCGTTCTTCTTTGATGTTCTCACTGTGCTATTGTACACCCTCTCCAAGACTAAAGCAATTCCATCTTGAATGTTAATCCACCATGTTGGCTTCTGATAAACCCCAGTTACAGGAAGGCCTCTAAGATTTCTAGTTATTATTGCTCCTTGTGTAACAGCACACACTTAGCATAAATCCTGTCCTTAGGTAAAAAACAACCTTGATGTTACCATACTTTAATTGTCCTATGCATCTCTTGTGAATCACATACACCCATTCTGTATGGTATATAAGCCCTGGGGGGTAATGGCACAGGGATCCACCATCTTGTCTTGCTGCCTTTCAAGACACAGACATGGCTTGTTTTCATGATATACAACTATGAAATGTTTCATACAAATATGAAATGTTTCTTTCTGCGAAACTGGATTCTTCAGCCTCTTTTCTTTGGCCTCCCTGCTTCCTCAGACTTTGAAGGTAGGTTTGCATAAACCTATCCACAGCATAACACCCTCCAACCCTACTTGTTATAGTTGTCCACCAACCTCCTTGTCCCTCTCTCAAATCCACTGAGCATTTATAATACAGCCCATGCTCATCATATCACTTTGCCTCTTACCTCCTTTGAAAGCCACCCCAAAACTAGAATCATGACCAGGTTCCTTGAAGTTTACAAGTCCAATAACATCTTTAATACACCCCTGAGTATGGTTCTTATACAACCCAGTTTTCTCTTGGTCAGTCCTATTTATGCCTTTTTCTTGACATGATCAGTAACAGCACGCTTTTTCATTTGCAAATGTGTAATGTTATCATATTTCTGCTTGTTGACCTTATCGCTCCAAGAAAGTACTGGACTCCCTTCATTATTTCAAAACTTAAGTATAATTTTCTTTCCATCTAGTACAGAACTGTTAGGACCCCCTTAGGTCTCCGTCTTACTCCCATCTTAAAAATTCTAGCTCCCTTGGCCTTGTGGGGAATTCACATTGCAAATTGTCATCCTTCATTCAAACCAATTACCTACTTTCTAAGGTCTATATCTGGCCTTCCAGAGATATTCAAATGTTTATCTGGATTTTTGCTACTGTAAATTTATTCTCTTCATCTTCCCTGGGCCTCCATATTAGAATATGCATTTACAAGACCTTGGTCATTTTCGGCTCCTATTTCCCATAACAACTCTTATAAGATTTCGTTTCAACTTAACTTTCTGCCTATTTTGTAGTGAAAATCAAGGTTCTGAGTGTAAATACTTTACCTACCTAACTCCAAACATAGACACTTCTCTACATCATCACCTATCTTTACTTCCTTTGCTTCAGGATCATAGAGTTTTTCTTTCTCTGATTCAAGGCTAACCACTCTTACTATAATCTTTTCTGAAATGTTCCATCAATTATTCTAATTTTTAAAATCTTCTGAATTTTGAATATCTCTTTCCTTCCCAGTGGATTTTACATATGACACTCCCACTTAAAAACAAAATGAAAACCTCTCTTGGACCCAACTTCTATTTTGTCTACTGTATCCTCTTCAATCTTTCTTCTTTCCTTCTTGGACGGAAAAGGCTCCTTCTTCATCCCCTATATTTGGATGCCTTCATTGTCCTTCTGAGTCTATTCTAGCAAATATCATTAATGACCTTCCAGTTGTCAAATCTGATGTTCTCTTCTCAGACCTCATCTTATGGGCTACCTTTACGACATTTGACACCATTGTTTACTAATATTTATTTCCAGTATAAAAATGGCCCTATTATTTTTTTAGCCTCTTAATTCTTCTTGAGACTCTATACAAATCAAGGCAAGGCCAGATTTGAACAGCGAGGAAAAGTAAATGATACAGGCTGGAGGGTGGTTGACGGAAATGGGTCTGTAAGCATGGGTTGGATTTCATGGGTTTGAGCACCTTAATTTCACACTGCTTCCTCTATTATCTTTTTATATTGTCAGGTCAATATGTTACCTTAAAATAATTGCAAAGAATTTTTTTTTTTGAAAATGTGCTCAGGTAACATGACTGTTGACTTAAAACTAAAGGAAACAAAGTTAAATGGAAAAAAAAAAACCTAACAGATAAAAGAATGAGCAGAGATATCACTCACTATTTCCTATGCTTAGATTGTGGATAGAGATGGAACAACATAGGGTCCAGGGATCTGTGACTGAATCCAGGGGATCTGATTTTGTCTCCATTTCCCACTTCCTAATGCAAACTTGAAATTGAGACACTGTATGGGAAATAGATTTATATTCTTATGCTGGGTCTCAGGTTAAGTAGTTGTATATCATTAGCTAACTTTCTTATTATTTAAGGGCCCTGTTATGCTAACTTTCTATGATTCTATAAAAGTAGATCTAAAGTAGTTTGTAGGTATGAAAGAGCTTTATAAATGTAATATATTATTAATCTCTGTCAACATACACATAAAACTTCCAACCTTTGTATGTGATGAAATTCAAATGTAATAATTATTTGTCATCTAACACTGAAGGAAAATATTTTACTTTTACACGGAACAGCTTATTATCTGCTCTGTGCCCTTACAACATGGATAGTCCATTTGTTTTTTAAAAAAAGAGAGAGAGATGGTGACAGCTGGTAATTCATTTATTTACAAATTGGGGTCCTGACTTAACAAATAAATATTTGAGGCTTTCAAAAGCAATCACTGTAATTTTTGCACACATGGTAATTTTTTAAAGAAAATTATATACAGACTGTTTTCAATTATATTCAAAATTTATGAAAGATGTCCTCCTCCTATCCTGAAAGTTTATATTTTATTAAAGATGGTGATTGAAGGCTTCCACTGAAGAGCATTAGCTTTGTTTGAAGCACTGTATTTCTGAAGCCCAAATTGCAAATGAAATAAATGATGTGCCCTCTTGTTATACAAACAACCACCAGCTATCAGCCATCAAGTCAGGATTGCAGTTGTGTTAAACAGGCTGGCCTCTGTCTCTCCTTTGTCACGCACTTAAGGTTCCCTCTTATTCTCTGGATTCAGATGGCTCCAGTGGGCGTGCCTTCTTGGTTTAACTGATGCCTTTTCAACTTTTGTATCTTTGTATGGGTGGAGGAGACTTTTGAGGATTTGCTTTCAATCCTTTTCATTTAGCCTCCCTTATGTCATTTCTTTGAGCTGGAGGCTATGTTGCAGCCTGGCCATTTACGTTCTGGCCCTAAGGTATGGCTAATCATGCCTCTGGTACCCTTCATGCATCTTAATATGAAGCTTTGGGGCACTTGGTTCCCAGTTGGTGAGATCATCCTGGGATTGTGTCTACAGCTGCGTCTCTGGCATTATCTCTTAGGATTCCCTTAAGGAAGTATGTTATGCAAAGCATGACTATAAAGTAACAAATTTGGTTTTCATACACCATACATAAATGCTTGTCTCGCTGTTTTCTAAGCACATTTTATATATGCCTTTCTATTAGGGATAGTGGCGAACAATTGTTGTCGATTGCTCAGATGAAGATGAGTCTCCTAATATGATTCCTAAAAATTCCTGGTTTTCAGATGGGTTAATTAAAGGTGGCAGCAACCCCAAAATAGATTTATGGGAAAATGGAGAAAGGAGGCTGGATGGCTACAGGAGTCTTAGAAATGTGGGCACTTTCAGAATATGGTGTTCGGAAGTCTATGTTTGAAAGGAAGCCAACATGCGTAAAAGGAAATGTTGCTGCTTGTGCAAAACCTCTGGCTATTAGATTTCTCTGTCAGCAGACACAGCGGACCATTTGATACACATGCTGGTAGTCTTCACCCAGAAAGAGTGGGGTTTCTGTCAAATGTTTGCAAGTAAGTAATTGGTCTGAAAAAGAAAAATGGGGCCTGGAGGAAGCACAGGGGTTCTTTGGACTGTGTCCAGTAGAAAAAACAGTAGACTAGAGATCTAAAAACACAGATCTTGATCTAGCTTTTATCATTCTGTGCTGTGTGTTTTTAACCACATCATTGAGCTGAGTGGTCTGCATAAGCCACGGCCTGGCACAAATATAGGTAAAGCGTCAAAAATAGGTACAGTAGCTCATAGAAGATACTTTAAAAGCGTTTGTTGAATGATAAGTGAATTTATAATTCATTCATTGAATTTATAATTCATTCATTATAGATCTGTCATACGATTTGATGCCTAGATTTTGAAGTTTAATGTTCATCTCCATACCAGACATTTTATGTCTGTATGTTCAAATTCATTATGTTAACAAAGAATGTAGGTCACCTGGGCAATCTGTGGATAGAGAGGATGCCCCATTAGCTGACTGCTAAATTTTAGGATGCTGACAGCATTGTAGAAACATGTTGATTAGGCCACAATGGAAATCACGTCTGATCCCAGCAGCAGATGAGACTCTGTGTTATTCAGAAATGTATAGAGGTCATAAAGTGAGGTTGATTTCTAAACAATGATAATAAGAATACAAAGTGGATAATTCTATTAAAAAAAAGAACTCATTGAACCTTTGAACTCTAGAAACAAAGATTAGGCTCAAGTAGTTAAGCACAGCCAGATATTTCTGGGTCAGTCCCTATAGCACTTAGATAACAGCTGTGGGTTGACAATTGTCCTCTAGCTTTTCTCAAAAGAGGAATCTCACAGACCAAGGCTTGAAAATGGTATTTATTATGAAAACCTAGGGCATGATGGAAATATTTTGGAATTTTGTACCTATTTTGCAAGTGTAACTAGGTTTCTCTTATTGCTTTGTAGCTATTTGTGAACATTGTTTCCTTTGACATTTTAAGTTTCTGGGAGGCTATTTCTGAATCCTGTTCATTTATCTTCTCCCATTTCCAAGTTCCATTCTAATCTTCACCTCAAAGCAGAGCATTTGTTACCAAGAACAATTCAGGAGGCTACCAGCTCAGTTCAAGCATTGCCCGAAAATGCTTTTTACTTTTGTACACGGATTCGTTTGTTTACTCATCTATTCTGCACCCACCACGACCAAGCATGGTACCAGGTGCTATGCTATGTACTGGAAAGGGAGAGATGAAACATGATAGGCACTGCCTCGAAGGTGCTCACACTCTACTACTTCACCCACTGTAAACAAACTCTAAAACATGGTGAGAGTTGTGCTATGATAAGAGCAAGGTGTCCTGAGCCCAAGGTGTCTCCTTTCTGAGTATAGGGCAAGGGAGATGATCAGAGAGGGTCCCAGGGAGAGGCAATATCTAAGCTGAAATATAAAAGAGAGGGAGAGTTAACCAGGAGAGAAATGATGCAGAGGGATGGAGGTAGAAGCTGGGGTTGGAGGGATTAGGGTCCCATGAACCACATGTGCAAAGGCACAAAACAGAGAAAGTAATACCCTTCAGTAAACTGGATATGGGAGAAGTGGGCATTTATTTTACTGTGATTCAGGAAAGGAATGACAAAAATAAGGTGAGAAATACAGTAATTACTAACTTCACCCATTTCTACTCCTTTGAATGTTAAACTTGTATGATTTATTATTATTATTGCTTATTTGCTTGACTAGGGAGACAAGAGCCCTGTATTTTGGTGCTAGATTTGACCATTTCAAGGTGAGTTATACTAAATAAATTTGTAATATCTGGGCTTCTTTTTCATTATACCTTTCTAAGTTATTTTAGAATTGGCAAAACATATGTCATTTTGTGTGGAAAGTTTTTGTAGCTTCAGGATATTTGGAAAACTATATACAGCCATTATAGAAAACATAGGGAGATTCCCCCAGAATTAAAAACAGAACTATCATATGATCCAACAATCTCACTACTGTGTATGTATCTTATATATCTAAAAGAAATGAAGTCAATATGTTGAAGAGGTATCTGCAGTTCCATGTTCATTCAAGGGCTATTCACAATAGTCAAGATATGGCATCAACCTAAGTGTCCATCAAAGGATGAATGTGATAAAAAATGTATCTATACACAATGGAAAATGATTCAACCTTTAAAAATAAAAAGAAATCTTGAAATTCGTGACATGGATGAACCTGAAGGACATTATACTAAGGGAGATAAGCCAGGGACAACAAGACAAGTACTACATGATCTATCTTTTATGTGGAATCAAAAAAGACAAACTCATAGAACCAGAGAATAAAATAGTGGCTACCAGACCCTGGGATAGGTGGGTGGATTTGGGAGACATTGGTTAAAGTATACAAAATTTCAGTTAGATAGGAGAAGTAAGTTCAAGACATTTATTGTACATATGGTGTCTATAGTTAAAGTGTATTATATAGTTGAAAATAGCTAAGAGGGTAGATTTTAAGTGTTTTCACCACAAAAAATCAGTATGTGAAGTAGTGCATATATTAGTTTGATGTAGCCATTCCATTATGTATACATATGTCCAAAACATCATGTTGTATGCCATAAACATATACAACTTTTATTTGTCAATTTAAAAAGTAGGAAAAAAAATTTTGGCTGGGCACAGTGGCTCACGCCTGTAATCCCAGCACTTTGGGAGGCCGAGATGGATGGATCACGAGGTCAGGAGATTGAGACCATCCTGGCTAACACAGTGAAACCCCGTCTCTACTAACAATACAAAAAAGTTAGCTGGGCGTGGTGGCGGGCGCCTGTAGTCCCAGCTACTTGGGAGGCTGAGGCAGGAGAATGGCGTGAACCCAGGAGGCAGAGCTTGCAGTGAGCCCAGATTGCACCACTGCACTCCAGCCTGGGCAATAGAGCGAGACTCTGTCTCAAAAAAAAAAAAAAAAAATTATAATGATAATTGGAAAACCCTAACCCAGAACCAGAACTCTAGTAGATAGGACCACATCCAATAACAGAGGCCAAAGGCAAAAGATGGTGAAGTTCATTTGCAGTGAAGTCCTGCAGGGCAACTGGGGAATCTATCAACAAAGAGATGCTGTAGCAGTGGTGCACCTGTCCCTGCGAAAGGCTCTGAGTCTCAGCCATGAATAGTCTCTCACCACAAGGCCATGCTCACCAAATCTGAGGCTTTGTGTAGCTCAGTCCTTAGATGAGCTACCTAAAAACTAACAGGAAAGAAAAATACAAGAGAAAAAACAAATTTGGTAAAATGCTATGTTGCAACAAAATTATACCAAACCTACAACATAGTTAAGTTCTTGTTTAAGCTAAAGAAAAAGGATCCTGGGTTAAGTAGGCCAAGAACCCTGGCCTGGGAGCTCTTTCTGGTAGAATAAAAATCTGCATAGCTTAGTACCAAAGATGATCCCCTTGTCCACTGGTATTTATACTGTTAGGAAGTCAAGTACAGAACAATAATTAATATGCATTTAGGGTTCAGTTTATTTCTGGCAATCTTTTCTCTTCTTTTTCGCTACCTCCATCCCTATCTTTCACAACAACCCCTGCAAGGTACTTTGCTGTTGTGAAACACGGAGGGGCACCTGGATTGCAAGATACCTGTAATTATCTCCATTTTATTGGAGAGAAAACTCATCCTCAGAGAGTATAAATAATGAGTTCAAGGTGATATATGCTGGGACTATTAAAATGTAGGTAGATTGTATAATCCGTATTTGATATCTGTTCAATTCCAAGCTCATGTTCTAACACATCATGCTACTTATAGTCTAGAAAGACTGACTGTCTAATTCCAAAATAACCATTTGGCTTTAAACATTTTGAAAACGTTATATTAAAAATTAGAACACATTAGGATAATAGAGTAGTATCAAGAAGAGGTCAATGGTAGAAAACAAGGGCCTATCACAGGGGCATGGCTCTAAATCTATAGGGTACAGAAGGGCCAAGAGGCTCATGTCAGTCAGCAGTGACATCTCCCAGTGACCGCTGGAAGGAACTTGACCTGTGTGTGCTGGCCTGTGTGCTCTTCTTCGATTTAATTCCAGTGGTGGGGATCTTTCAATCTCCCAACACCAGATGCTTTCACAGAATGTATGCTATTTTATTTTGAAATCTCCTATCAGTTCTAGTCAAATATATGTTAAAGATTAATACAACTACTAAGTTACTGGAGGAATCATTATGCAGCAAAATTACTATAAAATGAATTTAAAAATGGACTTCGAAACCATTAGAAAAATGGGGAAATTATATGAATTTGACTATTCACAGGAAAGAAACTGTATAAATGGATAATGTATAGTAAGAAATATTTTCAATGCAGTGAATAAGCAAATTAATAAGATTTTTAATAGCAGTGAGATAGATTTTTTTAAACTGTTGGGATTACAGAATTAAAAAGAAACAATGCATTTGTTGTCCTGAGAATGTGGAGGAATAGGCATTCTCAGACCCTGGTGGTGGGATTGCCCATCAGCCAGATTTTTGGAAATCAATTTGGCAATTTTTTAAAGGTCTTAAAAGTGTTTGCTATCCTCCACCTTGATCCAGTGTTTCTCTAAGGACATCATTAGAGATATGTGTAAGGATATATTTACAAAGATGCTTATTGCAGCTGCATTTTTAACTGAAAAAATGGGAAATATCCTATATTGCCATCCATATGGAAATGGCTGATTAAAGTGCAGTATAATCGTAAGACAGAATATCATGCAGCTATTAAATTATCACCAAATAATTTTATTGTACATGAAAATATACTCATGATGAGCTGCAGTGAGCTATGCTCATGTCACTGCTCTCCAGCTTGGGTGACAGAGTGAGATCTTGTCTCTAAAAACAAATTAAAATAAGATAAAAATATATGAATGATGTAATGTGATAGAAAATTTAGGATAAAAAAACAGAATGTGCAGTGTGAACTTGTATGTGTGCTTGCAAGCGTGTGCACACTTGCATGTGCCTGTTGATGTGTGTGTGTATATATGTGCACATGTGCATGTGACATCCACCAAAACATGAGGGGAAGACACCAAAATGTTCATTATAGTCCTTCTGGTTGATGGGATTGTGATTTTAATTTTTAAACATTTCTTCATATTTTACTGTATTTTTCAAACTTTCTGTAATAAGCAAGTATTTATCTCAGCAAACAAAAAAAGTGGTTAAAAGGTATTTAATAACATAAATCCCAAAGGGAATTTTTGTAAGAGATTTAAAATTAGGATGGCTCAGGTTAATAGAGTAGTATAAAGAACCGGCCAAAAGTAGAAAACTAGGGCCCATCACAGGGGCTGCTTTAAGTGATCTTAGAAATAACTTTATTGTATTTCCAGAAGCACTTTCCCTATTTTGCCTCTGACATACACATCAATGGTGGAAGGAGAGGAGACAGGATGCTGACTGGGAATTAAGGCTTACAGAGGAGAGAGTTGGTCTCTAGGAGATTTTATGTGATAGGTTTGGAGATAATCTTTGGTTTCCAAAACAATAACTTTATCCGGCTGATGAGCACATGAAAGCCAAAGAGTTGATTGTATGACTATCTATATGCCAGTCATTTTACACTGCGACTTTATATTCCTTTTCCATGATGGTTACTATTATCCTACAGACCTATTTATTTATTTATTTGTTTATTCTGTCTCCTTATTGGACGATAAAGATATAAGGATGAGACCTTGTTTATTTATTTGTTTTTTTATTTTGAGATGGAATTTCACTCTTGTTGCCCAGGCTGGAGTGCAATGGCGCAATCTTGGCTCACCGCAACCTCTGCCTCCCGGGTTCAAGTGATTCTCCTGCCTCAGCCTCCCATGTAGCTGGTATTACAGGCATCCACCACCAACCCCGGCTAATGAGGCCTTGTCTATTTCACTGCTATATGCTCAATGCTGAGCACATGGCTTGACACACAGAAGGACCTCAATAAACTGTTTTTGCATGATAAATGAATTAATAATGAATTCATTACAAATCTATCATAGAGTCTGACCTCTAGTTTTTGAAGTTTGTTCTTGACTTGCCAAGGCTGTTGGTGTGCTCTCAGACTTTAAGTTGCCAACAGACTTAGATGTTGGGGAAGGAAATGAACAGCTCTTAAAACCATAGCCCCTTTGATTTTGCTGCCATTATTTAGGAGAGGATGGAAGTGCCACTACCCCACTACATTCTCACTTTGTTCTTCTGACCCAGTAAAAATAGGCATGGGGAAAGATGTCATCTTTGTGTTCCCTTGTGGTAATAGCATGGCATGTGTCCCACCTGCTGACTTTTTTTTGATACCTGCTTTGCTAACAATGCCTGACTTTTCTGTATAATCCCTGACTTTTCTGTATCTCCAACTAGAACAAACCACTTTCTATGTGTACATTTGACTGCTCTGCTCAGTGGACTATAAAAGCATCAAGGTAAAATAGTTTCCCACTTAATTTTTTTTTTTTTGAGACGGAGTCTCACTCTGTCACCAGGCTGGAGTGCAGTGGTGTGACCTTGGCTCGCTGCAACCTCTGCCTCCTGGTTCAAGCAATTTTCCTGCCTCAGCCTCCTGAGTAGCTGGGACTACAGGCACACACCACCACACCCAGCTAATTATTGTATTTTTAGTAGAGACGGGGTTTCACCATGTTGGCCAGGATGGCCTTGATCTCTTGACCTTGTGATCCACCTGCCTAGGCCTCCCAAAGTTCTAGGATTACAGGTGTGAGGCATTGCGCCCAGCCTCCACTTACTTAATTTTTAAAATGAGCCTGTTAGGTAACAATATTAAGCACACCACTATATGTGTGTAATATAATATTTTTATATTGTAATATATTATTTGACTTTTACTTGTAATCGTTAGCAACCATTTGTAAAATACCTAATTTGATGCTAGCACTATAGTAAGCAATTTACATGCATTAGCTACTCAATCTTTACCATAACCCTATGAGATATATGTTATACCATTTTACAGATGAGAAAAGTGAGTCTATTGCAACCCAGGTGTGACTGATCTCAAAGCAGGTAGAATTCTCTCCATATTCCATGCAAGAATCTTGAAATACTAAGTATCCTGAGTATTTCACAGTATTTAGAGCTGGGACTAGCATCAACAGTACATAGCAAATAGTCAAGTCACATTGAGAAGCTTGATTTTCTGAAACACTCATGTTGGCATTCTTAATTTTCATTATCCAACATTACATAGTTACCAGTGTTGCCTTTCATTCATACACCAATCGATATCCTAATTGGTCTGCCTCAAACCTGGAAGCAAATTGCCTGGCAAAGGCAGAGGGAGAGCTGCAGATGGATATGTTTAAAAGGGCTGAGTGTGTAGAGTTGCTGAGCAAAGGAGAGCTCTGCCCCTGTGTCCCCTCCTTGTGTCTCACCTGAAGCTTCATATTTCTGTTGCTGTTCTTCATTCAGCCTCTCATTATTTACAGTTGTCCTCTAAGGGAATCAGAGCTCACTCTATTCCATCTTTTTTACTTTTGAATTAATTTTCCTAATTGGTAGAGAGAGGCCATTTGGGATACAAAACCACTTTAGTGCCTAGCCGGGAAATTTCTGAAAGCTCTGTCAGTGGAAGGAGTGTCGAGGGACTTGTCCAAGTTGATGTTCAATTCTTTCAGCTTCTCTAGGTCAGTTCTTTTCTCTCGCATAGCATGTCTTTCATTTATTATATTCTGATGCCATTATAAACTAGCCAAGGGAAAAAGGACAATGTTTAACCTCTGCTTACATGGACTCACAATGCAGACTGTGCAAAACAAGACTGCAGGGCTAATATCACAGTCAGAGAGTTCAAGAAGCTCTGAAAACCATGGGAACCAGTGACCTGTTCAAAACTGAACTTTAATTCTACAAGGAAGAGAGAGCAGAGGAGAGAGAACAAGAAAACAGAAAGCAGAAAAGGACAAAGCTTCAAGAGACCACCCTGGCCACCTGGTGCCACTTGGGGTCTGGGGTGCTTGATGGCCTCTTAATGTTTTGAAGCACAGCCGGCAGCATGAGGAAGGCGTGAGATACAGGGCAGCCCCCATGCACTTGGATCCTTTAGTTTCAGCTTCCAGCAGGGAAGTGCTTAATTGCATCCGTGATTGAGATGATCATTTTTATTGTGTTCAGCCCAGAGTTAAGGAGAGGGGGCCCCTCCTTAGGCAAGTTTTGAATTTCAGGTTATTTGTCATCTCTTAGCCATTATCAATGGTGCTGTTACTGTCATCATCATTATCATCAGAAGGGAAGTGTTAAGCCTATAATTACATGTGGCACTGTGCTAAGTGTGATACAGGGAAGCACTTGGTTCTTGCCGGCCAGGTGTGCATAATCAAAACACACTCTGTGTCAGGGCAGACCAAAAGTACAAGTTTTGCACAGAAAGGAAGATGAAAACACTGAGTAAATAAGCAGGTCTTATGAAGATATAATTGCCTGGGTTCTGTTTTAGGACTACAAACTATCATCTGGGGACTTATAGTCTATTTAAATACTACCTCTAAACTACTGCTATGCTCCTGGCACAGCCCTAAGTACTTTATATGAATCTTATTTAATCCTTGCAACAGCCCTATATGACAAATGCTATGACTATCGCTAACCTACTTACCAGGTGGCAATGTTAAGGACACACTACTAGTAAGAAGCAGAACAAAGATGCTGAGCCAGTCTATCTGACCACAGGGTCCATGGCAATGATAATTGCATTAAAAGCCTCTCAGAGCCACTGCAAACTTTCATAGCAAATACATTTTCATAGCAAATACACTTTGGGGCCAGACTTTGAGTGCATTTCATTATTTGAAAATTTCGATGAACATTGTGTTAATGATCATATAAAACTCAGCCAAACAGACAAAGCAACAAGAGAGCAAGAAAGAATGAAGCAATTTATTTAGGGTAGTAGAACTTTTGAAGTTAGCTCTGTAATACTTTTTAAATGCTGTAATGTTATAAAAAGAAAGAAACACAGAACATAGGTAGAAGGGCATACTGAACTGGGAAGGAACTGCTATATTGGGAAAAAGAACAACATTATCTGAAGGATGAGTGAGTGAGTTGAGAGGCTGAAATAATTTGGATAAGCATCTCATCCATTTGAATTCTGATTATTTATAGGCACACTCATCCCTAATCCTAATGTTGGATTACTGACTATTAGGTTCTGATTATTCCATTAAAAGGATTCAATGATTGCATGTTAATTAAGGATTCTTCCAAGTTGATACTAATATACCGATAATTCTATCCTCTCTCTCTCTCTGACAATTTACTTTGAGATTCCATTTATTTAAAAGAGAAATGTTACGGATATAAAAGATGTTGTCTTTGATAGTCAAAATGAACTTACTAATTTGTTTGTTTAGTTTTCTGTTGGTTTGCTGTAGAAGTTGGACAGTTCCAGCTTCTCTCCAAGGAGTATGTATCTTATCCACATTGAATTCCTTATTCCATCTAAGATATGATCGCTACATAGGAGGAAATGCTGGATAATGGAAGGATTATTGGACTAGCAGTTAGGAGTACTGGATTCTAGCCTCTCTTTGCTACATCTACAAAAGCAATTACAGAAAGTCCCTCAATCTCCTTAGGTTTATTTTGTTATTTCTAAAGAATCTAGTTGGGTTATACCAATGATTCTCAAAACTCACTGTGGATTAGAATTACTCAGAAAACGTTTTTATCATGTATATATAAAATATATATATATATCTGCTATCAGCAAACAATCCTGCATAAAAAATAAAAAAAAACACTACATTTTTTCTTTTCTTTTTTTTTTATTGTTGTTTTTGAGACCAAGTGTCACTTTATTGCCCAGGCTGGAGTGCCGTGGCATGATATCAGCTCACTGCAACCTCCACCTCCTGGGGTCAAGTGATTCTTGTGCCTCAGCCTCTTGAGTAGCTGAAATTACAGGCACCTGCCACCACACCCAGCTAATTTTTTAAATATATTTTTAGTAGAGACAGGGTTTTACCATGTTGGCCAGGCTGGTCTCAAGCTCCTTACCTCAAGTCATCTGCCTGCCTCAGCCTCCCAATATGCTGGGATTACAGGAATGTGCCACCACGCCCGGCCAGCACTACATTTTTTCTGAGGCTGACTTCCGAGGGCTGCTGGGAATCCCTGCAGTCCTTTAGCCCCAACTAAAACGGCACTCCTAAAAGTGAATTGGGTTAGGCCAGTATGTTGGCTGTGCTTAGGGTTCTTGGCCATTCATACAGAGCCTTAATGTGTCATCAATCTACCATCCTCTTCCCACCCCTGTCACCCACTGACATTCCATACTGATTCCTTCTTGAAGGAGCTGTCTTTTCTGGATTAGTTCATACATGCAGGAGAAGGAGTTCTGGCTTAGAATTCAGGCTATCTGAGTTCTCCTTCTATCTGAGTTCTGTGAACTCAGGTTAGGCCTGAGTTCACAGGCCCTAACCAGGTCTGTGATCTCAGCATACAACTTACCCTTCAGTGCCTCTGTTTCCTCATCTGTAAAAAGAAGGAATCCTTTCTTGCTCTTCAACTCTATGATCCCTGCTCAGACCTTGGGAGCCACTGCAGTGTTCAGCTGCTCTCAGTTTACTGTTTTCTGACTCATTCCTCTGCAGGGGCCCTTGCAAGGCCCTGGCCTGCCTGCCCCATACCCGCAGGCTATGTCTGACTGCTGCAGAGCAGCGAGATCCCAGGGGGCTCCTCTTTTCTTTCCTTCTTTGCGTGTGGAACAAGTAATCTGGCACGTTGGCGGTTTTCTGGGCAACAGAAAATCGCAGGATTGTTCCCTGATAGCAGGGCTTTTCTGGGCAACACAATTCTGAAACTGTCCTCTTGCTCACTTGTCAACCCATGACGGACAGTAAAGGGAAGAGGAGGGCCTTTGACTTCACTGGTGGGCAGGGGAGGAAGCTCTTGAAGACATAAAGGGATGTGACTGTGGCAGCTGCTCTGCTTGTTGAAACCTTGGTATTCTTACATGTGGCTTGTGATTGAGGTTCTGACTCTTGTACTTGGCATGGTCTTTTGTGTGATAGATGGTGAATATAAGTAAGTCTGATGCCTAATTAAGAACACCATACAATTACCCATGTCCATACAGATGATGTGGCTGTCAAGAAAAGGCTTCACCTGGAAGAGGGATGAAGATAGGATTTTATACTGGACTGTCGTGGAAAAATATCAGCATCTTCCGTTTAACTCCATGAGCCTCATAAAGACTATGTCCTAGCTCCCTGTAGTCCTCCTTATTTATGCATATGATTTGACTTTCCTTCAGTTTCTCTGAGCATTCTACTATTTCAGTGATAGGTAACCATTTTTTCATCTTGAAACTGTTCTAAAATTTGCACTTTTTGATTGTTCTTTAAAGATGGCCCTGAGGCATTAAAAACAGGGAAGAGGATGGGCTCACAGATGGGAGGCTAAATGGAATTACAAGTGACCAAGATCCAAAATATTATACTACTCCCCTCGCCCCTCCTGCCTGCCAAGTATGTTCTGCCTATTCATCTGTGTCCAGTAAAGTGTAGCAAGTATCAGACCACATGAATGAATCCTCTCCCTGCTGAGAACTGACCGCAAGAGGGCTCCTGGGAACAGAAGTCCACTGAGCTTCTGCAGATTGACCGAGAGTTGTCTAGATTTGTAAACAGGATGAGGAAGAGACTATTCCACAACCTTTGGTGCAGAGGGGAATGTGATATTTAGTAGAACAAGGCCCATAAAGCTAAATAAAAGTGTTTTATTTTAGGTCATTAAACTGTATGTCATATAACCTTTAAAACAGCATGCATTATAAATCAGCAGCTCAGGTTTATAGGGTAGCTTATCATTCATTTAACAGGCATAGTGATAGTACTTGAGGCTCGGGCCACTCCTTACCTCTTTCTAAATTAAGAGAATTTCTAAATTTCTTTTTTTTTTTTTTTTTTCCAAAAAAAGGAAGCTCATTCTTTATGGGCTTCTGCTACCCCCAGCCCAGTGTTCAGCCACAATGCTTCTCACTGTGGCAGCAGATACTAACATTCAGATGCTCAGAAAACACAAGCAGTGAACAGTCATCCAGAGAGTACAGGTGGTCTCTAAGGGAGAACTTTGAGAGCCTCAAAACTACCTTTATATGTAATGGACAAACATATTACATGTCTCCAGCGGACTTTTAACCCAGAATACCACCCATCTTAGGGTTTCGCTGGTGCTGTTCTTCCACAGATAAAATACTTAAAAGACATATTTATTTAACTGTCTTTGCAGAAACATGAGATGATGTAAATGGTTGCCAAATCAAAGAAGCAGTACCCAAAAGTACATTCTGCATGAGTCCACATACATAAAATTCAAAAACAGGCAGAACTTTTAGTGCCACTGAAAGATACATTTAAAAATGGTTAAAATTGTAAATTTTATAGTATGTCTATTTTACCTCACACACAAAAGAACAAAAAACCAAACGCCTGAAACCAAAACCTCAGCACAGTTAATCTAATGAGTGACAGCTCAGGAGATTAGCTGCCATTGGGATTATCAATGACTGCAAGGAGGCATGAGTGGGACTTCTGGATACACAGAAGTTTCTGTTTGTCATCTGAATGTTGGCCGTACAGCTGGCTCACTTTGGTAAGATTTATTGAGCTGTATGCTATGGCAAGCTTACTTTTCTAGGTAAGTGTTTTGCTTCAGGAAGACATTTATCAGAAAGTAAGAAGGTGCTAAAAAAATTAGTTGATTTGATTTAATTTGACTGGGGTATTGGTCACAAGTATGAAAATTCATTCTATTCTTCAGGTGCCACAGGTATTTGGGCAGAGATAATTGAATAAAATTATGTCAGTGAATAGTATTTCTATTTTTTTCCTTGCAAAAATCAAATTTGGTTTAAGGATGACAGGGCAAGGTTTTGTCTGCATTTAGACCACAGCATTGCCACCCTTTGAAGTTGCCTTATTTCTTTGAAGCTGCCTTATTTCTTTGAAGCTCTGAAAGCACGTGGTATCTGCAACAATATAGAGAGGGCTAGTCTAATGGTCTGCTCTTAGTTACATGGCACGTAGGTTGTTTTCCTTAAAAGCCCTGCCTCCGTGTGGCTCTGTGGGATAGTGAGCTTCCTGTCATCTACTGGAGGCCAGAGAATAATCTAGAAGGGATGCTCTGCAGAGGCTGCTTATATCGCAGAGACGTTGAACAAAATTATCTACAATGTCCCATGTAATTCCAAGATTCTGTTTCTACCATTCTCTAGGCGTTTATAGACAATGTTTATTAAATATGGGCCCTCATCTCTGTGTCAGTTTCTTCTTCGGTAACTTTGTGAAGGCAAGTCCTAAAGGTTAAAGAAAAATAGCAATCCTTTTAGGACACTTGTATTGGTCTTTTAAGGCATTTCACAAATTGGATGGCTTAAAACAAGAGAAATGTATTCTCTCACAGCTGTGGAGACCTCAAGTGTGAAATCAAGATGTCAGCAGGTCCATTTTCCCTCTGAAAACTCAGGGAAGAATCCCTCCTTGTCTCTTACAGCTCCTGATGGCCCCAGCCACCCTTAGGACTCCTTGGCTTGTAGCTGCATCACTCCAACCTCTGCCTCTGTGGCCTTCTTCCCTGCATGTCTGTGTGTCTCTGTGTCCTTTCTTCCTCCTACAGGTACACTAGTCATTGGATTTAGGGCCTACCCTAAACACAGGATGATTTCATCCTGAGATCCTTAATTATGTTTGTGAAGACCTTATCTCTAAATAACATCACAGTCTGAGGTTCCAGGAGGATATAATTTGGGGGATGACAGTGTATTCAAACTATTGCCAACACCTTCTTGGAAAGAAAAAGAAAAAAAATCAACATTAAAAACCTGTAGGATATCCAATAAATGCAAAGTGAGTGTTGAGAGAATAAAGCGTTGAGTCCACTCTCAGGAAGGGTGAGGGCTCCGACGGGGAGGTTATCCACACGTCCATTCGTTCAGTGAATTATTACTGGGCCCTGAGCTATACCAGGCACTCTGTTAGGTACTGAGTGTAGAGCAGCAAAATAAAGAAACAGAGACCATCCTCATGGCACTTATGGTCCAGCGGGGGAGATCAATATTAATCTAAGGAACAAAAAAAAAAAAGATCACTGCAAATTATTGAAAAATACAGTGCGGCATATCATTAGAGAGAATTATATTGAGAAGAGGCCCAGCTTTTGATGTGGGGTCTGTCAGAAAAGTTTTCTCAGAGGAAATCATATTTAAGCTGAAACCAGAGGATGAGTAGGAGTTAGCCAGGTACCGACTGGAGAATAACACTCCAGGTAGGCAGAGTGGTGAGTTCAAGGGGCGGGATGGAGGTCGCTGTGGCTAGGATACAGTGAGCAAGGCCCGGCAGGGCATGGGATAAGGAGTGGGTGCCT
Organism: Homo sapiens; assembly: GCF_000001405.40. Classification (NCBI taxonomy): domain Eukaryota; kingdom Metazoa; phylum Chordata; class Mammalia; order Primates; family Hominidae; genus Homo; species Homo sapiens. Next base: position 52,719,904 of record NC_000018.10, read on the forward strand.
GGAGCCTCATGAACCCCTGGCAGTTCACAGTCAGGATTTGGGGGTCCCTTCAACAAGAAGACCCAGAAAGTTAGAAGAAGAGGAATGGCAAGCTCTGAATTCTATTTTAAGATGACTCTCCTGCTTGATGTGGAGAAAGGAGGGACCAAAAAGTGACCCCAGCAGGCTAGGTATGATACGGTGGCGCAGGCAGCTGGAGCAGAGACCCTGGTGCCAGGAACCATTAGAAACATATTCCTGCTACTGCAGCCAGTCAGCTGACCAGTGTATTTCCTAGGCTGAGAGGCAAGCATGGCTCAATAGAGATCTGTAGAGCTCCATCATCCATATGGAATTGACTTTCAAAATGATGAAATAGAACTAATTTTCAAGTAGCTCTTATCTAAAACTAACAAAGGGGGTTTTACTTGAGTTCTATGAGCGCTCTATGCTCATTTGTTGTTAAATTTTTGAAATTATTTTCTGGTTTGGAATGTAGATCCAGAATTTGATATATGCAGATGAGCATGTGCTAACATGGCCGTGGTGTTAGCTAGTTAAGATCCGGAAGTGCTATCACACAGGATGGGAAGGGCCTCCTAGAGAAGTGAGAGTCTCTCAGACCTAGAAATACTGGCACATGATACCTCTGAACCCACGGAGTACCCAGTATACACCACCAGGAAGCTGTGTGGCACACTGTTTTTAAATCTCAATTGAAGCAGTCTTGGACAACAACCTTTGTTTTCTATCTAGGGAGGATCTAGACTTTAGGTGAATGAAGGGGAGATGAAAGGTGAGAAATTTAAGGAAAGGTGTGTTCTAATTATGAAAATAATTTGTATGACCATTTAACTTGTGACACAGAGCTCTTCCTGTGTGGTTACCAATTCTGTACTTGCAGGTACAAGTCTGTTTGATGTACTAGGTGCACATGGGACCCCTTCCTCGGGATTTCTTAACATGCTGCTGTTTCCTACTCCTTGTGTCATTGGCTGGGAGAATGTTCACAACAGACTCTGGCAAATGAGTTCATCCTCCTTGCAGATAATCACCTTATAGAAGAATCACATTGTCTTCCCAGCCGAAGCCCTCTTGTCTGAAGGATACCTAGTGTTACGTGCGTGTGTACCATTCCAACCTCAGTTCCTCCCCATCCCCTTAAAAAGATGTGCAGTGTATGATCCCTACAGATAATGTAGGAAAAATCTGGGTTTGAGAGGTGGGCTGGGGCAGAGAAGGCCTTAGCAGAGGGCCTCAGTGCCCATCTGCTTAGTATTATCCACATGAGTAAGTTGTTTCCATTGAAATCAACAGGACCGTATGGCAATGTTCGAATCTGAAATTATTTCCAATGGATTCCTGTGTAGTTACAACTCTATACTTGCAATCTTTGTGATTTCAATTTGGAAAGTCATTCAAGTGAGTAATTTAATGTTGGGCTGTTCCTTCTGTTTTCCCTTCAAGCTCAAAAAATTCTCAAAATAATGATATTATAAACAAACTTTGACTGTGCCTAACAGGACAGTGAGGGGTTACAGTTCTGTTTGTTCCAAATATAAACTATCAGGTCAGATTTGACTTTATCAACTAGGCACTGGGTTTTATGAAGACAAATCCGACTTGTGTGAAGCCAACTTTTAACTCCTAGATAATATCTTACCTAGAAAGAGATAATCTGATTTATCTTCCAATGTACAATGGGCCTTTTTCCTAAGGCACAGTGAGGAGGACTTCACTAAGGCACATATCACAACATTTCTCCTCTTTCATGCCCCTTAAGCCCCCTAATTTTTCTCTAAAGATGATGGTCTCTTGGTTACAGAGGTACCCCAAATCACTTTTTTAAAGTAAGTAAATGGCCAGGCACAGTGGCTCATGCCTGTAATCTGAACACTTTGGGATGCCGAGGCAGGTGGATCACCAGAGGTTGGGAGTTCCAGACCAGCCTGGCCAACATGGTGAAAACCTATCTCTATGAAAAATACAAAGATTAGCCGGGCATGGTGGCAGGCACCTGAATCCCAGCTACTTGGGAGGCTGAGGCAGGAGCATCACTTGAACCTGGGAGGTGGAGGTTGCAGTGAGCCGAGATTGCATCACTGCATTCCAGGCTGGGCCACAGAGTAAGACTCTGCCTCAAAAAAATTTATAAAATAAATAAATAAGTAAATAAAATAAAGTAGGTAAAATGCACATTGCATTCATGTCTATGACAATTGTGGGTGCACATGGATTAAAGAGCTCTAGAATTCTAAAAGGCTTGCTACAAAACATCATTCCCTTGCTGTTCCACTTCCAGTCTACTCCCCCTCCCAAAAGGAACCACTTTGAATTTCAATACAAGTTTATTAGGGAATTGTGCTCTATATCTCTAAGGAACATGCTTATATTGTTCCTTTTTAAACTTTTTTCCAGCTTAGGCTTTATCTGCTAACTTCCATCTGTGGCAGAGATAGAGATGGCTTCCTTTCCTACCTTTCACCATTCACCTCCACCCTCAATATTCCTTCTCATCCTCAGACTCCCAGTAAAGTTATATCTTAATTTGTTTAGATCAATATTCAGTGTTCTCACTACTGAGTTAGAACATACTATGGTTATTATTTATGTAGTATAATTTCCACTCTCCCAACCCCCACTCCAGAATTCATAATTATCTTGTGCTTTGTTTTCATAGCTTTAACATACTTAAGTCTTCATCATCTGCCTATTCGACTGGTGCAAAAGTAATGGCGGTTTTTGCAATAATAAATGTCCTCCCAATTGTTCAGACGCATCTGTCCATTTCTTCTTTTTGAGGAACTCTCAGAGACTCCTGACCTGCCCTCACCTGGATGGGTTGGCTGCTACACACTGAGCAGTGCAGTCACTAAGGGTCTCCTTTCACCACCATTTTGAGGATTTCCTGTACTTCCCTTTCTTACTGCTTTACCAACTTCCTGACTCTCCTGTCTGCTGTATTCCCTCCTTTTGGTGGGTTATATTTTTCAGTAGCTTCTTGAGAAAGGATTCATGGGAGCTAAAATTAAAATTTTATGTGTTAGAAAATGTTTTGGTTCCATTTTCTCACCTAATTTGTAGTTTGGTTAGGTATGCAACTCTAGGTAAGGAAATGTTTTCTTCCAGAATTTGAGAGCATAGCTCTATTGTCCTCTAGCTTCCAAGGCTGCTTTTGACAAAGTCTGATGAATTCTGGTAGCTAATCCTATTAGATTAGCTATCGCTACCCCTCCCTCCCTTTCTCTCACTCTCCGGAAATTCATAGGATGTTCTCTTTTGTCTGCAGTGATCTGAACTCTCCTTATATTGTTTGTTTGTCTTTTTGCTCTAATTCTTAGGCTGTGTCTTTATATTCAAGTGAAATATTTCTATTGGCAGTAAATAATAATAAAAATATTCCAAAATGCAGCCGTAATAAATTAGACACAGAATTCAACACAAAAACCATTCAGACGCTTTACTGGTGATCCTGCCATTAAGGATGACACAAACCCTGTCTGTTGTTGCCTACTAGGATAATTATTGCAGATCAGTGAGGAGCCAGAACACCAAGGCATTGTAGAACGCCAACAGTAGGCTAGAATGTAAAGGAGGAAAACCTAGAAAAGAGCAGGTTTGGCTTCAGCCGTCCCTCAGACCTAATTACCATTCCCAAAGGGACACGAACACCATATTTAAAGCATTCATCTAACTTACAGAGGGTGAGGCTTGGCTGTGGGAGGGCCCTGCAGCCAGCATACCTGAGGTCAGATGAATCACTTAGCATGGCTTTGGAATGTTCTGTCTGAGGCTGGAGTCAGGCTCATAAGGGCTTCTTTGCATTTTAGGGGCCCAGCCAAGTAGACTAATGCAAGGAAGTCTTTATATCCCAGAGTAAGGAATTGTGGCATAAATCAAGAAGGCAATGCTGAAAACCCAAATTACACAGATGAAATGAACCAGAGAGGTAAGGGCAAAGGCGAGCCTAAGCTGACCCTCAGGCATCCTAAGTGCTTGATCGGAGACGACATGATTCATACCTAACCCCACCAGCTGTGAGCCACTCATAAACAACCAGTCTGTCAACACTGTCTCAGAAGTGGGAAGAGTTGATTCTGCAAGCTGAAACTCTTCAAAGGTACAGATGAGTATCCTGAGAAGAGGCAGAAAGGGGCAATAGTGAGTATTTCAGACCTCTAGAGACCATCCATCACTTTCACCACCAGATATCAACTTTATTTTACCTTTCATGGATCCTGTTCTCTTGTTTTCATAGATCTTCCTCTCATACCTTTTTTAAAAAATACAGTCTCACTCTGTTGCCCAGGCTGGAGTGCAGTGGTGCAATCAGGACTCACTGCAATTTTGGCCTCCTGGGCCTAAACAATCCTCCTGCCTCAGCCTCCTTAGTAGCTGAGACTACAGTTATGTGCCACCACATCCTGTTATTTTATTATTTTTTTTAATAGAGATAAGGTCTTACTATGTTGCCCGGGCTGGTCTCAAATTCCTGGGCTCAAGTGATCCTCCCAACTCAGATTCCCAAAGTGCTGAGATTACAGGTGTGAGTCATTGTGCCCAGCCTCATACCTTATTTTTAATCCTTTCTCAATAGCCAGTTTTATCTTACCTGTACCTATATTTCCAAAAATTTGCCTAAATTTCCTGTGGTTGCTCAGAACTCTACAGCTCTCCTCAATTTCAAATTGTAACTTGAAATTGAACCTGAAATCTTCCTAAGATTTACCAACAGACCAGCATGATCAGTACATCCTGGTTATTTTTTGTCCTTTGGCAACCATTTGTATGCTTATTAAAACTTGTCTCCCTCTTTCATAGCAGCCTAAAATTTCTTGAAGCAAAGGCTGTCTTTCATTCATCATGTCACTCAAACACCCTATACACACAGCTTCAGCACAGGTAAACCAGCACAGTGAGTAAACCTGGCTCCATCTGACCCATTCTACACAATTCCTTCCCCTAGACGGAGTCTTGGTCTTCACTACTAAGGAAGCCTAACCTTGGAAATGGACCTGTGGGCAAATAAAACTGTTTTCTCTTCCAGGGATGTTTCCATTTGAAACTTCAGCTTGATGGCCACATGAAATGTCTTTCTCACCAAATAAAGAAATAGCTAACTATGAGGGTTATTTTCTTCACCAGGGAACCTACCCGATCTCTTTCAAGGCATTCCCTGTAGGCAGCTTCCCACTAGGCCACAAAAATCAGAGTCTGTCATGATTGATTGATCAAGAAATACCTGCCCACAGAGGGCCACACTTCCTCTGAGGCTCAGGCACCTTTTTCAGGAGGGAAGGAATGCTAGACTCAGGGAAAGGGCTCCTGACCATGAAATGCTCAGAAAGTTGGTGTGTGCCAGGGTCAGAGCACTGCTGAGAGCGCCAGTGATCAGTACACATTCCATTTCCCTCTGTGCCCAGCACTGCCCCTTGAAGTCACTGTTCTGTCTTTTCAGAATGGAAAAAATTAGAGAATAACAAGTTGCTCAAAAGCTTCAAGTTCTTGCAAGAATGTCAATTAGGTTAGACGGTGACATAATAGAATAATGTTCATATGGCAATTCCTTACAGCACAATGATCCCAAATAATATCACCTATTGCTACAGCCTGTGCCATGCGGGCTGCCACACATAAAGAAGCTGGCAGTGTGTGATAGGCAGTGGGAGAAGCTGAAGTTGTTACTACGTAATGAGAAAGATGGTGTAAATACCATGTCTTGGTTTGTGGGGGAGGTGTTGCCTGTGGAGGAGGTATGCGACTCATGGGAGAGGGTGGTTTTATCTTACTAGGAGTAAAGACTCTTAATGTGTTCAACAAGGTCGATGATTTTGACTAAGATGGCATAGCCAATACATATTACAGAGGAAAAAAAGACTGGATAAGGCAATTGAGATAGGAAACATAAACTGGAAATGAAATACATATCAGTATAGATCAGTTCACACTTGAGTCACGCATCAAATGTTCATGGTTTAGCCTGGCACTAGTGGGTCTTGATCTACCACCACATCTCTATATGCTCTTATGAACACTCTTACACTTTTCAAAATCTTCTTACATACATTATCTTATTTATTAGGGGAAACAGAATGAACTGCTAATATCATTCCCACTTTAAAGATAAATAAATGGAAGGACAGAGAGATTAAACTAACTGCTCAAGGTCACACTGATAGCAAGTGATCACATTTTGACCAATATTGACCATGATGAATGACCAAGTGTTGAACACTAACTACAGGTAATATGTTAATTCCCAACAGCCCTAGCAGATGACTAGTGACATTGTTTCTGTTTTGTAGAAAAGAAGTATACGTGGCTTGCTAATGTCACACACAGCTGGCAATGGCAGAGATCAGGTTCAAATCTAGATATGCTTGCCTCCGGAGTCTGCAATCTTAACCACTATCCTTTCTCTCTGTAATCCAGCAATTTGCCTCCTCCTGGAAGAATCTAGTGATTCTTGCGTAGTAATTGTGATTTTTCTATTAAACCTCATCTCTTTCCACCATGGTACCTTCATTTTAATTGATTTCACTATTTGTAGCATCATCTCACACTTTTTCTGTTAGTCACTTTTAAAAAGTATTATTCCATACACCCCACCTGCCTGGTCTCACAATGCACCTGATTCTCCAGCATTATTTATATACTTCTCCCTTCCTTCTCTAGTTATTTGGAAATATTTTTAAGGCAGAAACAATGTTTTAATTTTATATTACATTTTATTGTTTTTGCATTGAAACCCAGGTCTCCCAACTCCAAATGTAATACTTTGATCAAAAGCACAGGCTCTGAAGTCAGGAAGACTCAACCAAGTTCATGTTCTGACTCTGCCTCTGACTGGATGAATGACTATGGCCAAGCTATGTGGTCTCTCTGACCCAAAAATTACTCATCTGTAAAATGGAGCTAGCCAAATCATAGATCAGATGTGAGGAATATTCTAGGTCATGTATAAGCTATTCTACATAGTGAGTAGCAGATTTAGAAATGACTCAATAGAAACTGCTATTGGTGTTATCATCAGTATTAATTATAGTTATGAAAAGAAAGCTGCCAGCTTTGGAAAACTCCTAATGCTTAAAATTTCTCTGGCTTAGGAAATCTCTGGATGTTTTCTAAGAGTCTAATAAGTAGGGATGTCTCACATATAACTCAGATGGTTTGATAAAAGCCAGTTCTTGAATATGATGCTGGAGTCAGTAGATAGATTGTCACAGCAATAATAGATATATCACAGTCAATAGAAAGCTATAAGAAATGGAAATCCAAAGTGATTGGTTATGGAAATGAAAAATTACTTTTCCCTACCTTGAAAACAGGTGATGTCTTTCAGCCATTTACTGTCATTTGAAAATGAAAATAGTACTATTTTTGTTAAAATAACTGTGACTGACCAATTCTTTTTTGTAATATGTTCAATGGGAAATTTCTTAGTTTTCTGAGACCATTCTGGGCTAATAAATTAGAAAGTTTCCAAGAGTTAGGATAAGGACTTTGAAATGTGATGACCTGTTTCAACATGAAGCTGACAGTGTAATGAATAACAGAGTTTCAGGATCCTGAAACTTTGATTGCTTTTCCTTTTCTTATTTGCTTTGTTCATCTCAGAGAAGAAAATGATCCACATTTGTAATATCACCTTATCCTGCAGTTGGACATTAAACATTTATTTTAAACATTAAAACTGCTGAGCTTGTGAGTTTATAACCCATAGATACTTCTATTTATTTATTTTTAAATTTTAATTTCTTTATGTTGAAATTGCAAAATCCAGTGAATCAAAGGAAAATGATACCTGGAAATTGTGACTTTTCATGAAGTGTAACCAAATACAGCTGGTCAGGAGAGCATGAAGCAGGGATTTTGTTGGTGGTGCCGGCTGGAATGGCAGGGCTGAAATGTACACATTTGTTATTGGATGCTTTATGGTTTGGTTATGTTTGGATTATGGTTTTTAAAATATCTTTGGGTTTTGAAAACCCAGAACAATGTATTCATAATCCATGGTCCATCAGCTTTATTGTGGCTTTCATTTCATAGAGAAAGAGTGGTTTTGCATTTGCAATGAATTAGCTGTTTATTTTCCCAACTCTCCCATTTCATTATAGTGATACAATTTATTCACCTAACGATAAACAAATTTTTTTCCAATTCTTGGTCAGTGATTGGATTACACTAAAGGAATTTTGTTTTCAGGGTGTTGGTGTGTATCCATAAAACAATATAAATTTTGTATTGATGAGGGAATTGCCTTTCCTATTTAATTATGATTGTGGGCCCCGTCTCTCTCTCTCTCTCTCTCTCAATCTCTCTCAATGAATGAAATACAGAACTATTGTGAAGAGATAATAAGCTACTAAAAAGCATTCAGTAGTTGTTACTGTTATAAATTATTCATTCCCTGTGGCTTTAGAAATAAAGTTCTTTATCTTTTCAGAGGCAGCTCAAGGGTAGAGGCATTTAGGAGATCTCTCACCGAGTAGGCAGACTGAAGATTTCTCCCTGTACTGTTATTGCTTATGTGCTCCATCTCTTAGGGCAAAGTAGTTTGCCTTTCTTCTCCCAAGATTGTTATACATGAAAATATAAAGATCATTGTATTTTGATGCATCTTCCAGGAATGCTGAGAGGTAATGAAAAGAGACAAGTACAACCCATATGAGAGATCATTTCCTCAACTCTTTGTTAAGATAGATGCATTGTAAATGGGAACATACTGTGGTGTATTGGCAGGCAGGTCATCTGAGTCTCTGGATGTAGAGAATTACAATGTGCCTCTGTTATGTCATTTTATTTTGTACTCACATGAGCAATTGCAGGAATGCACAAGCTAACATATCAGTTATGAAAGAGCCCAAATGAGGGCCTACGGATGAATGAGTCTCCATAGCCAATAGTTGACAGTGCTTAGAGTCCTGAAGGATGATTTCATTGACTTGTTGCATCCTTCATGCAAACAAGGATTCGACAGCTGTCAAAAGGGCAGATTGGTCTCTACACTCTCCAGGGATCTATGTGAATAGTGTCTGTTTGGAGAAGTGATTAGAAATATTAATGGGCTCTGAAAACAAATCAAAAAGCATGTACCTCTAAGACCGGGCTCCCTACAGGGTCAAATTCAGGAAAATCGGATTTTAACAATTGAATTTGTTTTGGTTCTTTTTTAAAAATTTAAGCATAATCTCTATTTTGAATGAAACTGTTATAAGAGAGAAAAGTAAGCTTTACTGAAATAGGCAGTAGGTAGGGCTGAATTTAGTATTCTGTTTTATTGTTGTTGTTTGTTATTCGCTTGCTTTGTGATTATGCCTAAATCTAGAAAGCCCAAATGAAGCATCATTCCCTTAACATTTGTCTTCTCTTTCCTTTTATTTTTATTTATTTGAGACAGAGAGTCTTGCTCTGTCACCCAGGCTGGAGTGCAGTGGTGCAATCTCGGCTCATTGCAACCTCTGCCTCCTGGGTTCAAGTGATTCTCCTGCCTCAGCCTCCTGAGTAGCTGGGATTACAGGTGCCCACCACTGCACCTGCCTAATATTTGTATTTTTGGTAGAGATGGGGTTTCACCATGTTGGCCAGGCTGGTCTCGAACTCCTGACCTCAAATGATCTACCTGCCTTGGCCTCCCAAAGTGCTGGGATTACAGGCCTGAGCCACCATGCCCAGCCATTTGTCTTCTCTTTCAATGCACAAAAACAGGAACTATCTCTTTGCTGGGTTATATATTCAAATTTTAACACACCAAATTATTTCTTCTTGTGGGATTAAAGTTTTAGATAATGCTAAAGTCAGTGAAAGAAATATTTACTGTTTTCAGAGCAAGAGGGATTGAATGGAGAGCTGTGGCCCACAGTAGAATGGATATTTAAGAAGCATGTGGATGTTCCTGGTTAGAATGTTAATCCATAAGAGGCAAATCTAAGGGTAGAACCACAGAACACTAGACCTGGAAGGATCTTAGAAATCACCTTATCCAAGTTATTTACTTTCAGAGGAAGACAGAGACATGAAAAAGAGAGAATTGCCCAAGGCCACACAATCAGGATGAAATCATCAGGAGTAGAATTCAGGTTTCCTGGCTTTCATTGTTTTATAAATGTCTTGAAGCACTGACTTAAAAACTGAGTAAAATCCACTTATTTCAAAGAATACTTAATAGCAAAACTTCTAAATAACCTGGTAATTACTTGCAGTTTGTTTCAATGATTTTTTTAAAAAAATGAATATTACCTATGATTATGTAAGAGTAGAGGGCAGTGGTTCTCAACTGGGGATGATTTTGCCCCTCCCACACCAGAGAACACTGGCAATGTCCAGAGACATTTTTGGTTGTCACAACTGGAGAGGGAGAAGGGAAAGGTACTGGGATCTAGTGAGTAAAGACCAGACTGTGTTAGACATCCTATAATGCACAGGTCAGCTCCCCACAACAAAGAATTATCCAGCCCATAATGTCAACAGTGCCACCATTGAGAAACCATGGCCTAGGTGCATGAACTTTGAGGAATGCAACAGCTTACTTTGTTCTTCCCTTTTCTTTTTTTCTTATTGATCTACCATGGTTCTAAGAAGAAATACCTATATATCACCATGGTTGATATTTGCAAAAAACTCTTTCAAAGTATGTGAACTATTGCAGATGTTTGTAAATCCTGGATTCCAAACATGGAACCCTTGTGTACTTGTTTTCTATAGTTAACGACTGGCACTGTTCAGTGACACTCAATCAGAGCTGATGCTGGCTATGAGTACAGCATGACCATGCAAGCTGACACTGGCTGAATTCAAACCTTCTTAAGCAGATGAACATTTATATGTGGGGAGAGACCTGGAAGACAAACTGGAATCTGGAAGGGTTAGGATATTTGGCCTAGTCCTCACAGAGGGGCTATGTATGAGGCCTTCGAAGTTCACTGGTTCTGATAAACACTACAGTTTCTTGAGGGAAATCAGATAACGCAATAATGCACTGCACCCCAAGAATTAGGCATTTTCAGACTTCATTGGTTTTCTAGAGAAGTCTGCTTAATCATTATATCCTGTTGCAAACAAACCGCTAGACTGACAATACCACCCAATAAAAGAATAAAATTTGTCCATCTATCATTAAGATAATTGTTATTGATTAGTCTCCTTATAATTTTCTGCCTTTTGTTTTCAGATATTGGCTATAAATCACAGCCACAACAGGCACTGAGCCTGTGTTTGTGTCTATTATGTGGTCCTGATAAGGCCAGGCAGCGTTTTTCACCTTCCTGATGCGAGTTATTGAGATTGATTGAAGCGCTTTGCTTGTCCTATCCTAGACACTGTGTAATTAATGTTTCATTATGTTAATACATGCAAATGTGAGAGTATGTGTTTGATTGGGAGGTGAGAGAACAAAAAGGATTAAAGAGTTCACTCCAAAGTACAAATTAATTTATTGCATTGCTAACTGTCCTCTGAGGAATGAGGGAGTAGGCTTCAAAATGAAAGGAAAAAAATGCACAAAGAGAAAATGCTGTTGCAAGGCTGTCTTTCAGAGGTGGTGTAGTTAATGGTTACAAAACAGATATTCAGTCACATGACAGAGACCTTGCCTATGAAGTGGTTTCAGCATGTCTCCCTCTATAGTGAAAGGGTTTAGGACAGGGAAGCCAAAGAGTATTTTCTCTTTACATATACAAGCATTTCTGCATAGACATAGTATATTAGAACCATACTATATTAATACAGTAGAGTGATCTTTCATATGTAAACAGCGATTGACTTCATGACATTATTTGAGGTGCAGCAGGAAGGAAATTTTAACCCCCAAAAAACCCACCCACAGATCTACCACAATTATATGCATATTACTGCATTTTCTTCCTTGTCTTCACAGTGATAATTTTGATTATTTCCTAATATATTAATATATAATGCTCTGTGATTTACTTATTTCCTTAATGTCAGACAATCAATATGTTTCTATTTGTCTGGATTTGCTATGATAGCAAATATTTTAATGAGCACTGTTTTTGTATATACAGTAATTTTTGTTCTATTGAATTATTTTGCTGAGATAGCTTCTTAGGAGTGGAATTACTAGAGCCTAAATCTTTTTACGGCTTTCTATATGCATTGCTGTTTTAGAAAAATTCCCACTCCCAATATCTAGCATAGAAACTCAATAAATGGGTGCTGAATTTAAGGAAGCCTAGACTTCTACTAGACTATCCTAACTCTTGAGGTTGCCATATTAAGTTGTTTTAGCTAATCATTCCTTAATGTGGGTAAAAGCTACTGACTCCTCCCATACATACCCACGAAGTGATGGTATTTTGAATGGGTTTTAAAAATAAGAAGCAGAAGAAAAAGGTGGTTAGAATTTAAGACTCAGCCAGGAAGGGCAGGCTTGGATTGGAGAGAGAGTACTAATAGCACTCTAAAGTCACTGGATAACCAGGGAGAAGGGCTTTGAAAAAGTAAAGAATTCTAAAATAATCATGGATTGTGTCTTATCCACGATTTATTCACTGGAGGTATTGTAGAGCAATCATTATAAGATATTCACAACTATTATTACGTTATGTGACTTCATTTATTGTTTATTTACTTTCATTTCTGATGATTACCTTAGAGCAGGGGGCAGGGTGGGAATATGTGGTCATGCCTGTTTCTTTTCCCACTGTCTATGGCTGCTTTTCTGCTGCAATAACG